>NC_000015.10:21599698-21778502 GCF_000001405.40 Homo sapiens | reverse complement strand
GAATTCGAGACCAGCCTGGCCAACATAGTGAGAACCTATATCTACTAAAAATACAAAAAATTAGCCAGGCGTGGTGGCCCATGGCTGTAATCCCAGCTGTTCTGGAGGCTGAGGTGGGAGAATTGCTTGAACCCAGGAGGCAGAGGTTGCAGTGAGCTGAGACGATGCCGTTGTATTCCAGCCTGGGTGACAGAGCGAGACTCCGTCTCAAAAAAAAAAAAAAAAAATCTGATTATTTACCTGTGTACCTTCACAAGTGTTTAAAAAAAAAAAAAAAAGGCCGGGCATAGTGGCTCAAGTCTGTAATCCCAGCACTTTGGGAGGCCGAGGCAGGCGGACCACAAGGTCAGGAGATCGAGACCATCCTGGCTAATACGGTGAAACCCCGTCTCTACTAAAAATACAAAAAAATTAGCCTGGCGTAGTGGCGGGCGTCTGTAGTCCCAGCTACTCGGGAGGCTGAGGCAGGAGAGTGTTGTGAACCCAGGAGGTGGAGCTTGCAGTGAGCTGAGATTGCGCCACTGCACTCCAGCCTGGGAGACAGTGAGACTCCATCTCAAAAAAAAAAAAAAAAAAAAAAGATTACGTTGATATTTTGCCTACTATAATCTTAGAAATTTGCAATTTCCTGTCATTGAGTTTTGTAACTTTCTACCCTCTGCTGACAAAAAAAATTTAAAATGTCTCATGGCAGCCTGTGTTCTTAAAATTCGAACTGTTTATCCATAGCCCTTGAGAGAACGGTTTAATGTGAGTTGGTTGGGAGTGACCGTTGTTTGTTTTTTTGAGACAGAGTCTCACTCGCTCACCCAGGCTGGAGTGTAGTGGCGTGATCTCAGCTCACTGCAAACTCTGCATCCCAGGTTCAAGTCATCCTTCCACCCCAGCCTTCCAGCTAGCTCGGATTACAAACATGCACCACCACACCTGGCTAACTTTTGTATTTTTGGTAGAGACAGGGTTTTACCACGTTGGCCAGGCTGGTCTCAAAATCCTGAGCTCAAGGCCTGCATCAGCCTCCCAAAGTGCTGGGATGACAGGCGTGAGGCATGACGTCAGGCCAAGGGGGTGGCTGTTTTATAACAGGTTTGAAAATTTGTTTTTCTTTTTTTCTTTTTTTTTTTTTTTTGAGACAGACTTTTGCTCTTGTTGCCCAGGCCGGAGTGCGATGGCAAGATCTCGGCTCACTGCAGCCTCTGCCTTCTGGGTTCAAGTGATTCTCCTGCCTCAGCCTCCCAAGTAGCTGGGATTACAGACACCTGCCACCACGCCTGGCTAATTTTGTATTCTTAGTAGAGATGGGGGTTTCTCCATGCTGGCCAGGCTGGTCTCAAACTCCCGAACTCAGGTGATCCACCCGCCTTGGCCTCCCAAAGTGCTGTGATGACAGGCGTGAGCCCCTGTGCCCAGCCAGGGGGTGGCTGTTTTATAATAGGTTTGCAAGTTTGTTTTTCTTTTTGTTTTGTTTTGTTTTTTTGAGACAGAGTTTTGCTCTTATTGCCCAGGCCAGAGTGCAATGGCACAACCTTGGCTCACTGCAACCTCTGCCTCCTGGGTTCAAGCGATTCTCCTGCCTCAGCCTCCCGAGTAGCTGGGATTACAGGCACCAACCACCACGCCCAGCTAATATTTCATATTTTTAGTAGAGACGAGGTTTCCCCATGTTGGCCAGGCTGGTCTCGAACTCCTGACCTAGGTGATACGCCTGCCTCGGTCTCCCAAAGTGCTGAGATGACAGGTGTGAGCCACTGCACCCGGCCCTGAGATAAGCATTGTTAAGATTTGGTTGTCCGGGTGCAGTGGCTCAAGCCTGTAATCCCAGCACTTTGGGAGGCCGAGGCGAGCGGATCACGAGGTCAGGAGATGGAGACCATCCTGGCTAACGCAGTGAAACTCTGTCTCTACTAAAAATACAAAAATTTAGCCGGGCGTGGTGGCAGGCACCTGTAGTCCCAGCTACTCAGGAAGCTGAGGCAGGAGAATGGCGTGAACCTGGGATGTGGAGGTTGCAGTGAGCCAAGATTGTGCCACTGCACTCCAGCCTGGGTGACAGGGCAAGACTCCATCTCAAAAAAAAAAAAAAAAAAAGATTTGGTTATGTTCCTGCAGTCCTATATGGGGCTAGAAGAATATCACCAAATATCACCAAAATGTATAAGTATACACACATGCACACACACATTTGTGAGTGTGTGTAGGCACGCATGCATGGATAATAGATATACCTGTGTATGTCTGTATATAGACATTTGTGTTTCTCAAAATTGTATCAAAACTGGATTCATGGCCAGGCACAATGGCTCACGCCTGTCATCCCAGCACTTTGAGAGGCCCAGGCAGGGGGATCACCTGAGGTCAGGAGTTCGAGACCAACCTGGCCAATGTGGTAAAACCCCGTCTCTACTAAAATACAGAAATTAGCCAGGCATGGTGGTGCATGCCTGTAATCCCAGCTACTCGGGAGGCTGAGGCAGGAGAAACGCTTGAATCTGGGCGGCGGAGATTGCGGTGAGCCAAGATTGCACCACTGCACTCCAGCCTGGGCAACAAGCGAAATTCTGTCTTAGGAAAAAAAAATTCATATTATGTATATTGTTTTCTAAACTTTTTTTTTTTTTTTTTAGACGGAGTCTTGCTCTGTCACCCAGGCTGGAATGCAGTGGCGCAATCTCAGCTCACTGCAACCTCTGCCTCCCGAGTTGAAGCGATTCTCCTGCCTCAGCCTCCTGAGTAGCTGGGATTACGGGCATGTACCACCATGCCCGGCTAATTTTTTTGTATCTTTAGTAGAGATGGGGTTTCTCCATGTTGGTCATGCTGGTCTCAAACTTCTGACTGCAGGTGATTCACCCACCTTGGCCTCCCAAAGTGCTGGGATTACAGGTGTGAGCCACCGTGCCTGGCCTGTAAACGTTTAATTTTTCGAGGCACGTTTCTGCTGTGTTGCCCAGGCTAGATAGTGCAGTGGTGTGATCACAGCTCACTTTAGCCTCTACCACCTGGGCTCAAGCAATCCTCCCACCTCTGCCTCCTAAATAGCTGGGACTACAGGCGTCCACCACCACACCTGTGCGTGTGTGTGCATGTGTGTGTGTGTGTGTGTGCCTTTTTTTCATGGAGACAGAGTCTCTGAGCCTATGCTCTGCAGGCTGGTCTCAAACTCCTGGACTCAAGCAGCCCTCCCCACTTGGCCTCCCAAAGTGCTGGATTCCAGTGGCGAAAACCCATCTCTACTAAAAAAAACACCCCAATCGGGCTTGCAAAGTGCTGGATTCCAGGCATAAGACTGCACCCGGCCTGTTTTGTGAGATTTTTAACTTAAAATCTACCCTGTGCCAAGCACTTTGGGAGGCCAAATGGGGAGGGCTGCTTGAGCCCAGGAGTTCAAGACCAGCCTGGGCAACATAGTGAGACCCTATCTCTTAAAAAAAAAATTAGCTGGGCGTGGGACCTGTGGTCCTGGCTACACAGGAAGCTGAGGTGAGAAGATCACTCGAGCCCAGAAGGTGGAGGCTGCAGTGAGCTGAGATTGCACCACCACGCTCCAGCCTGGGAGGCAGAGTGAGACCCGGTCTCAGAAAAAAACAAAAAGCAAACCAAACCGTATGCTGAATGTGCACTGTGTTGGCTGCACAGAATGGGGTGAGATGTGTGTCTCTCGTATTGTATTTGATCCATATGTCCGTGGGGCTCCTACGTGTGGGTAAGGCTGTGAGTGTCACCTGGTGGGGACTAATTCCTGGTCATCCCTGGTGCTTTTTGTAAAGAAAGTGAGTTGCAGCCTGGCTGTGGTCCTGCTGGTTGTAGCAGACAGATCCATACAGTGCAGACGCGATGGTAATTTTGGTTTCATCATTCACGAGAAGCTTTATTTATTTATTTATTTTTTGAGATGGATCCTCGCCGTGTCACCCAGGCTGGAGTGCAGTGGTATGATCTCGGCTAACTACAACCTCCACCTGTCGGGTTCAAGCCATTCTCCTGCCTCAGTCTCTGGAGTAGCTGGGATTACAGGTGCCTGCCATCATGCCTGGCTAATTTTTGTATTTTTAGTAGAGACAGAGTTTCACCATGTTGGCCAGGCTGGTCTCGAACTCCCGAGCTCAGGTGATCCACCTGCCTCGGCGTCACCAAGTGCTGGGATTACAGGCGTGAGCCACCACACCCAGCCCGTGAGAAACTTTAAGTCAGTGCAGTGGCACGCGGATGGTGCAGGGCCGCAGGCTTCACCTTCCTTTTGGGTCTGAAGTGACTGCCTCGCTGTTTGGGGTCAGAAATAGCTGTGTGTAGGGGCAGGTGTGAGCTGTGTCTTGTGTGTCCCACAGAAGTGACCCTCATCATGATGGTGTGGTACTGGCATTCTTGTCCGTAGACTGACAAGGATTCTTTTTTTCTTTTTTCTTTTTTGGAGACAGAGTCTTGCTCTGCCACCCAGGCTGGAGTGCAGTGTCGCGATCTCGACTCACTGCAAGCTCCACCTCCTGGGTTCAAGTGATTCTCCTGCATCAGCCTCCCGAGTAGCTGGGACTACAGGTATGTGCCACTACACCCGGCTACTACTTTTTGTACTTTTAGTAGAGATGGGGTTTCAGCATGTTGGCCAGGCTGGTCTCGAACTCCTGACCTCAGGTGATCCACCCGCCTCAGCCTCCCAAAGTGCCGGGATGACAGGCGTGAGCCACCTCGCCTGGCCCTGGATTCTGTTTCTTAAACTGCAGGGAATACTAAATACTTTACATGTGTATGTTTCTCATTTCATTTTCCTAAAGGAATTGGAGAGTGAGTTGTTGAGATTCTTTTCATTTTATTTTTTATTCTCTATGGTCCTCATCATGCAAATGGCTAAATGGTTTTTTTTTTTTTTTTTTTGAAACAGGGTCTTGCTCTGTCACCCAGGCTGGAGTGCAGTGGTGCGGTCTCGGCTCACTGCAACCTCTGCCTCCCGGGTTCAAGCGATTCTCCTGCCTCAGCCTTCCTAGTAGCTGGGATTACAGGTGTGCACCACCGTGTCCGTCTGATGGTTAAATTTTTCCTAGAGATGAGGTTTTGCCATGTTGCCCAGGCTGGTCTCAAACTCCTGAGCTCAGGTGATCCCCCCACCTGGGCCTCCCAAGGCGCTGGGGTTCCAGGTGTGCAGAGGGCTCTTTGTCTACACGCATCACTGGATTTTCTACCCACGGGGACAGGAGTGTGACCACAGCGAGGTGGTCAGGGAGTTGTCACCGGCGGGCACTGCAGCCCAGAGATGATGATGGCTCTAGGAGTTTGGTTGTGGAGCACAGATGCCAGCGGTGTGGGCACGTGGCCCTGCACCTGTGTTTCTCCTGCACAGGCCCCAGAACCCCAGGATGGGATCTCTGTGCAGTGACGAAGTCAGTGGCCTCTTGGTGAGGCTGAGGGATGGGAGTCGGCAGAATCCAGGCTGGGCCCCCGAGGCCTGGCTCCCTCACTGCATCCCTGAGGTCCCACAGCCTGGTGACAGCATGACTGAAGACCACACTCCAGTCAGGTGGCCAGCCCCACATGTGACCCCGGGTCTTGGCTCCCACTCCTGACCCAGGGTCCTGGCCTTCCACGTGTGACCCCGGTTCCGGCTCCTGTCCCCGCCCCCTCTGTCCCCTTTCCCCTCTTTCCCCAACACCCCTTCCTCTCTCCCAGACACCCCTTCCTCTCTCCCCGGCACCCCTTCCTCTCTCCCCGGCACCCCTTCCTCTCTCCCCACCCCCCGTCCCCCCCTCCTCTCTCCCCATCCCCCCCTCCTCTCTCCCCGTCCCCCACTCCTCTCTCCCCGACCGCATCTCTCCCTTGAGTCCTTGAGTGGTCCTGGCTGCACACCTACCTGGCTGGCCCCATCCTCTCCAGGGCAGGGACAGCCGATGCCCCGCACCTCCCCCATTGCTTTTCTACCTCTGCCCCCTCCCCACATAGGCCTGGTATCCCTTGGACTCCTGTAGGCACCAGCCGTAGTCTTAAGAAGTCAGTGTGTCCCACAGCCCTAAAAGGTCAGGGTACCCCCTGGCCGTCATTTCAGGGCAGCCTATAGTCCTAAATGGTTGGGGTACCCCACATCCCTGATGTTCAGGGCACCTCACAGTCCTAAAGGATTGGGGTACCCCACAGTCCTAATGTTCAGGGCACCCTGCAGTCCGAAAGGGTTAGTGTACCCCCAGATGAGGGGCGGTCAGGAGGGTCAGGGCCCAGGTGGACTTCCTGTCATCCCACCCTGTGGGGCATGCCCTGTGTCCCTGACTCTGACATTTGGTGAGGTGAGTACGGAGCAGGCTTCCGTGGCACATTTTTTTATTTATTTAGAGGTAGAGTCTCGCTCTTGTCACCCAGGCTGGAGTGCAGTGGTGTGATCTCGGCTCACTGCAACCTCCACCTCCTGGGTTCAAGCCATTCTCCTGCCTCAGCCTCCCAAGTAGCTGGGATTACGGGCGCCCGCCACTACGCCTGGCTAATTTTTATAGTTTTAGTAGAGACAGGGTTTCACCCTGTTGGCCACGCTGATCTTGTACTCCTGGCCTCAGGTGATCCGCCTGCCCTGGCCTCCTTAAGTGCCGGGATGACAGGTGTGAGCTGCTGTGCCCAGTCCCTGAAATGCTGAAATGCTCAGCCCATACCCTGAAATGCTGATGGCAGGAACCTCTGCACTGTTATGGCTCCCAGAGCTCATCTCATCCTACTCTAGACACCAGCCCTGTCATCAGCCTCCTCCAACTCACTAGTGAGTGCTGAGTTCAGAGGAATTTGTTTTGACCCTCAAGAGGGGTTAAGATACACTGATAGGCTGGTCGGGTCAGGCCTCTCAGATGTCACTGGTGCAGTGGCCCTACCTGCCTAGACAATTGAGAAGAATCATTTTACAATGATTTTATAAGCATTCATGGTGTTGCAGGGACTGGGCTATGACCTTTGTGGTCCAGGATGCTTAGTGTTCTAGCAGAGATAGATGGGCTATGAAACAGTTACAGTGCAGTGGAGTAGTTGTGATATAGCCACTGCCAGGATATTATGGAAGCATGGTGGAAGAGCTTCTAACTTTTCTGTCTTTGGAAAAGGTTCAGGAAAATTCATGCATGAGTGCTTGCATATATATTTATGCACATATGTGCACACACAAGCATGTGCATACACACAAACTCATGCTTGATGGTCTGGGTATGTGCTAGAACAATGACCCTATCTAGCTAAGGTAGTGGGCCAAGATTAATCATTCCATCCGTCTATCTACCCATCCTTCCATCCATCCACCCACCCATCTACCTATCCATCCAGGCGTCCATCATTCTATCCATCTATCTACCCATCCTTCCATCTATCTACCCATCCTTCCATCTATCTAACCATCCATCTAACCATCCATCCAGGCATCCATCCATCCATGCATCCATCCATTTCTTATATGCTTACTATGTTACAGGCTCTTTTAAGGATTCTTTACTTACCTGATTTCATTTATTCCTCTCAATAACTTTGAGATATGAATTATTAGTCTCATCTTATACATAAGAAAATTAAGACCCAAGAAGTTTGGTTGCTTGACCAGGGTTACACTAGTACACTAGTCAAACAGCTGGCCCAGGCTTCTCATCCAGATCTGAATAATTCCAATCATATGTTCTTTTAATCTCTTCTGAATTCCCCATACTGTGTTCAGAGGAATTTGTTTCAACCCTCAAGCGGGGTTCTGTTCTCCCCCATACTGAAAAACAGAAAACTGGATTTTCCAGGTACTAACAGATATTCAATACGCATAGCTTCTCCTTCTCTTTTAGGGAATTTAATGGGCAAATTCATAGTAAAGGCTCAGAGAAGTCCTGTACTATTTTCAGTTTAATCCAGCATTCACTGATTATGATCATCATTATTGGATCATGAAATTTTTGGTGGCAAAATACCCAATTCCATGACAGTTGGAAGAGTTGCTTTACCCCCTCATCTGACCTAAGACCAGAACAAGTACTTCTGTCCCTAAGCAAGGTCTTTTTTTTTCTTCAGGCAGCAAATAATGATTTGACCTTAAGCCAACCAATAATCCAACCCCTTGCATCTCTGTGACATTCTTCTTCCACATGCCCTTCAGCTCCGTTTCTTCCCTGAACTGCAGGATGTCTCTGCAAAGCGCAGAGGGTGCAGGGGCTACTGGACCTCCAAGAAGTGATGGATTTGGTCTCCAAGTTGATCCCTTAAGAGATGGCTGCTGCCCTTTGTGGGTCTCATCACTGCAATCTTCTCATCCTATCTCCTGGCTCTGAGTCTCAAATGTTTACTGGCCCAGGGCAAGGACCCATTCCCATGGTATTCTAGATTCATGCCATCCATCTCCGACTGCACTGCTGGGTGGCAGGACAATGGCTTTGCATCTGTGCTTCATCCCACAGAACCCAGCTTCTGCCTCAGGGAGGAACCAACTGTACTTATTTCTCTAGATTCTTTTCCTCCTTCTTGTGGTTCTTTCTAAAAATAGAGACAGACTGGCATAACCAACCAGCAATGAGCACTCCTGTGCCCGGAGGGATTTTATTTGTTGCCCCAGAAAGAGAAACTGCTTCTCCCCACCTGGAGCCAGGACCCAGGAGCCAATGGTGACACAGTAGTGCCTTCACCTGAGCGAGCCTCTCCACTCTGCATCCTGCCCCACATTCCGGTCCCTGGTCCCACCCTGGTCCCGCCACCCCCCACCCCCCACCCCGCTCAACCAAAGAGCGCCTTTGCAGCAGCTGGCCCCCACCCTCAGCTTCTGGGAAGTGATCTCCATAGAATGCCCTGCCTGATGGGAGTGTCTTTGTTTGCCTTGGGGCTTTGGCCACTGGACAATCTAACGAGATCTATGAAGGGGGTTTTGAGCCACATTGTATCAGGTCTACCTCCAGAAGGGCTGGTGACTGAAGGTCAACCATGCAGGTGGTATGTGATCAAGCCTCAGTAAAAACTCTGGACACAAGGCTTGCATGAGTGTCCCTGGCTGGCAATACTCTGAACTTACTGTCACATGCCGATGCTGAGAAAGAAACACTGTCCTGACTTGATGGAAGGAGGACACCCGGAAGCTCTGCGTTTGCTGCTTTCTGGGACCCCACCCTATGCATTTCTTCCCTTGGTTGAAGAAGGGACCTGCATCCCTTCCCTGTAATAAACCATAACCTTAAGTACAACAGACTTCAGTGAGTTCTATGAGTCCTTCTAACAAATTATCGGGACCCTTGAATTTGCAATTGCTGTCAGAAGTGTAGATCAAGTTCCCACACTTCACAGTTGGTTAGCTCTTTACAGTTGGCCTAAAATTTCAGTGTTAATATTGATTAATAGATAAATAGATGGCACCTCTCCTGGTGTGGTCATTGTTAATCTGGTACATTGACCTAATGAAGACTCCTAGTTCATGAAAAGATTAAACCTAGTAGTCAGCTTCTAGGATTGTATAAGCGTGAGTACAAATTGCCATGGTTCCAGGGTCACAACTTTTGGAAGTATTGATAGCTCTTTTTAAAAAATGTTTATTTTTATTTCAAGTTCCAGGGTACGTGTGGAGGACGTGCAGGTTTGTTACATAGGTAAACGTGTGCCATGGTATTTTGCTGCACCTATCAACCCATCACCTAGGTATTAAGCCCAGCATCCATTAGATATTTTGCCTAATGCTCTCCCTACCCCCTTCCATCTCCTGACAGGCCCCAGTGTGTGTTGCTCCCCTCCCTGTGTCCATGTGTTCTCATTTGTTCAGCTCCCACTTATAAGTGAGAACACACGGTGTTTGGGTTTTCCATCCCTGGATTAGTTTGCTGAGGACAATGAATTCCAGCTCCATCCATGTCCCTGCAAAGAACATGATCCCATTCCTTTCTATGGCTGCATAGTATTCCATGGTATATATGTATCACATTTTCTTTATCCAGTCTATCATTGATGGACATTTGGGTTGATTCCATGTCTTTGCTATTGTGAATAGTGCTACAATGAACATACATGTGAATGTATCTTTGTAATAGAATGATTTATATTCTTTTGGGTATATACTCAGTAATGTGATTGCTGGGTCAAATGGTATTTCTGGTTCTAGATCTTTAAGGAATTTCCACACTATCTTCCACAATAGTTTAACTAATTGACATTCCCACCAACAGTGTAAAGCATTCCTGTTTCTCTGCAACCTCACCAGCATCTGTTGTTTTTTGACTTTTTAATAGTAGCTATTCTGACTGGTGTAAGATAGTGTCTCATTGTGGTTTTTGATTTGCATTTCTCTAATGATCAGTGATGTTGAGCTTTTATTCATATGTTTGTTGGCTGCACGAATGTCTTCTTTTGAGAAGTGTCCATTCCTGTCCTTTCCCTACTTTTTAGTATTTTTTTTTCTTATAAACTTGTTTAAGCTCCTTGCAGATTCTGGATATTAAACCTTTATCAGATGGATAAATTGCAAAAATTTTCTCCCACTCTGTAGGTTGCCTGCTCACTCTGCAATAGTTTCTTATCATGTGCAGAAGCTCTTTGGTTTAATTAGATCTTGTTTGTCAATTTTCACTTTTGTTGAAATTGCTTTTAGCAATTTTGTCATGAAATCTTTGCCTGTGCCTATGTCCTGAATGGTATTGCCTAGATTTTCTTCTACGGTTTTATAGTTTTGGCTTTGACATTTAACTATTTGATCCATCTTGAATTACTTTTGGTATAAGGTGTAAGAAAGGGGTCCAGTTTCAATTTTCTGCATACGGCTAGCCAGATCTCCCAGCACCATTTATTAAATAGGGAATCCTTTCCCCATTGCTTGCTTTTGTCAGATTTCTCGAAGATCAGATGGTCGTAGATGTATGGTCTTATTTCTGAGTTCTCTATCCTGTTCCATTGGTCTGTGTGCCTTTTTTTGTACCAGCACCATGGTGTTTTGGTTACTGTAGCCTTGTAGTACAGTTTGAAGTTGGGTAGCGTGATGCCTCCAGCTTTGCTCTTTTTGCTTAGGATTGTCTTGGTTATACAAGCTCTTTTTTTAGTACCATATGAATTTTAAAATAGTTTCTTCTAATTCTGTGAAGAATTTCAATGGTAGCTTAATGAGAATAGCATTGAGTCTACAACTTACTGTGGGCCATTTTCACAATACTGATTCTTCCTATCCATGAGAATGGAATGTTTTTCCATTTGTTTGTGTCCTCTCTTATTTCCTTGAGCAATGGTTTGTGGTTCTCCTTGAAGAGGTCCTTCACTTCCCTTTGTTAGCTGTATTCCTAGGTATTTTATTCTCTTTGTAGCAATCGTGAATGGGAGTTCATTCATGATTTGGCTTTCTGCTTGTCTGTTGTTGGTGTATAGGAATGTTTGTGACTTTTGCACATTGATTGTGTATCCTGAGACTTTGCTGAAGTTGCTTATCAGCTTAAGAAGCTTTGGGGCTGAGATGATGGGGTTTTCTAGATACAGGAGCATGTCATCTGCAAAGACAATTCAATTTCCTCTCTTCCTATTTGAATATCTTTATTTCTTTCTCTTACCTGATTGTCCTAGCCAGAACTTCCAATACTATGTTGAATAGGAGTGGTGAGAGAGGGCATCCTTGCCTTGTGTTGGTTTTCAAGGGGAATGCTTCCAGCTTTTGCCCATTCAGGATGATATTGGCTGTGGGTTTGTCATAAATGGCTGGAAGTATTGATAATTCTTAATGAAGACAGAAGCTAGGAGTTAAACAACCTTCCTCCATGCACCCTCAGTACTTGGTTCATGCTGTTGCCATTACGCTCATCACGCTCCACTCTATGTCATGTGACTCAGTGCATATGACTGTGAGCTCCCTGAGAGAAGTGATCTTACTCACCTTTCACTCTGACAATCAGAGAAGAAAATAACTCACAAAGTGTCTGATGAATTGCTGATCTTTTGCAGACATAAGCAGTTGTGTCCGTGAATACATGGTTATTACAACCCCATAAACAGGTTCTCTTTAAACTGTGAGCCCACATAAAACTTTACAAGTCTCCTATTCCTCTCTAAGAAGATATTCAAAAGGAAAAATCAACACAGAGGCAGCAGAGCATACTGCCAAGAGTACACGTGTGGGATTTGGAAACCATGGTTCTAGGATAGCACCATATTCCTATGTGGCTGCATGATCTTAGGCAAGTCACTTGACCTGAGACTAGGTCATCTCATCCATAAGGCAGTGAGAAATACTGTACCCTCTCGCCATGCTACAGTAGGTAATAATTATAAAGCATGTACTATTAAATAGTTCAGATTCCACAAACATTTTCTAAGCATCTGCTATGTGTTAGATACTCTGGAGGGCACTTCCATGCCACTGTTCCATGCCATGAAGTCCTCATATTCTGGCATTGAGGGGTAATGGGAAGGGGCTGGGAGTGGGAATAGAGATGACACAAAACTGGGAGCTGGCAATTACTGAAGTTGGATGAGAGAAAATGAAGTTTCACTACATTGTTTTCCCTATTATTTCATGTTTTTGAAATGTTCCACATGTATTAATTTTTTAAATTTATTTATTTTAGAGATGGGGTCTCACTCTATTGCCCAGGCTGGAGTACAGTGGCACAATCATAGCTCACTGCAGCCTTGAACTTTTGGACCCAGTTAATCCTTCCACCAGAGCCTCCCAAGTAGCTGGGACTAGAGGCTTGTACCACCATTCCTGGCTAATTTTTTAAAAAAAATTTATAGAGATGAGGTCTCTTTATGTTGCCCACGTTGATCTCGAACTCCTGGTCTCAAGTGATCCTCCTGCTTCAGCCTCCCAGAGCGCTGGGATTACAGGTGTGAGCCACCACACCTGGCCAAAACATGTATTTTAAACAATCCTCTCAACAATTATGTGAGGTGGGTCTCCATGGTCTCACTTTACCCATGGAAAACCAAGGCTCAAAGTGACAGAAGCCTGAGGTTTCCACAGAATGTTAGAGGCAGAGTCGTGTCTAGAGCCCAGGTTCCCTGCCTCCATGCAACTTCACACTTCCCACCTCCCTAGATTGTGATGCATGGCTGGCACCTGCCCTCTCAGAAGCACACTTGACCTCAGAAAGGTGCTCCTCAAGGTAGAGGTTTGTGTTTACAAGAGGTAGACCACTGTAAGCAATGAGGGGAACAGCTCCCCACCTTCCTTTCCAGTGCTGGGACCTCTTTCTACACTCATTATGAAAAATTCAAGAAATATGGGGGTTCCTCAAAGTCACTATCATCATCTGTGGACATCTGCTGAGTCCCCAAAGCACTGGGCAGGCATTGCTGAAGCATGCAAAGGTATACATAACACACAGGGCTTCCCACAGCAACCTCCTCCAACCCATTCACAATAAATATTTTTAAATGTATTAGCAAACTCTGCCGAGACAAAAAGCTCATTGCAACAGTCTTTGTCCTCCAAAGGAATTGCTCTACAGTAGAAAGAAAGAGAGGTTTTCTCATCTCTTCTGCAAGGGAAGGAACTGTGGGGGTGGGGGGGCGGGGGGAGTGGTGTGTGTGTGTGTGTGTGTGTGTGTGTGTGTGTGTGTGTGTGTGTGTGTGTGTGCGTCTCAGGGCAGAGGGGGCAGGTTGAGCTGAGCACAGAGAGAACTACGCTTTTCTAAAGCCACCCAGGGACATGCCCATATGTAGCTCTGGGGCTGGTTGCAGCTTGCATTTGTTTGGAAGTTCAACCCTGGGATGTATACAATTTTCCCCAAATAACCCCTTGGAGGGAAAAATAACACAGTGCAAATGACAATACTCGAAAGCCTAGAGATATACTCAGCCATTTTCTTTATGATGACCATATTTTGCCAAAGTCTGTGTCCTAGAAGTCTCTCCCCATCCATTAATGTAGTCACCCAATGGATTGCTTTTCCTTCCCATGTGTTGACTTTTCCTTCAGCTCTTGCAGCAACACATTGCTTGGCCAAACCAGAATACACCAGGGAGCTTGGAAGATATTGCCCAGTCACCTCTGCAACCTCAGAAACTCCCTCTGGTGCCTGTGGTGTGACACGCCACATCCACATAGCATTGCACATGGTGATCCCTAGGTTCTCGCTGAGGACTGGAAGGGACAGCCTAAAGGTTTCATCCAAGTTTCCACCTTCAGCTCTATCTTGGTCTGCAGGTCAACTGACTCTTCAAGCCTCCATTCCCCACCGCACCAATTCCCCACAGCACTGCCAAGGTTTTTCACAGAGCCAAGAGATAATCAGCAGAGCAAATGCTAAACCCAAAGCCATGCCCCCTACCCTCCAATCCAGGGAAATGTAAAAATATATCAACTTTAAGGCCCTGGAAAAAAAGTCAAAACCAAGCTCTATAATTGTGGCCTGTTTACAAGGCGTGCTGAGTTGTTGGTGCATTCTCAGAGAGGCTGTTCATGCCTCATGGAGCCAGGGAACTATGTTAATGGTAACAGAAGTCTTCATGTTCTGCAGTCTGTGCCCTTCTGAACACCCTTGGTTTGAAAAGCAAAGTCCTTAGGTTGGAGAATCAAATTCACAAATGCCTCCTTCAGTTCACTTTCCTTCAGTTGAGTTTGGACCCAGAGTGTGGACCCATGGAGGTCAGCTACCTGGTTTAAGGGAGTCAGCTCGTGTGTGTGTGTGTGTGCACGTGCATGTGTGTGTGCACATGTGTGTATGTCTGTATGCACACATATTTTCACAAATAAGAAAGTAGAGAAAGCAGAAGAGATCCAATACAGTGAAAAATCTCTGCCCAGTGACCTGGCACTGAGGAATATCATCCACCCCAGGCAAGAATCTAGAAATGAACAATTTAAGGATAGTGGGAGCACTTAGAAAAAAAACGAATGATTAGGAAGAGCCAACATCAGTATAATAGAACAGGTAATACCAACGTGACTTTCTTTTTGTTTGGAAGTTCTACATAGTATTATGTCTGGATTTTAGGAGGCCCTTCCCACGAATTAAATTTTTAAATGGGTAATGTATTCCTACGGTTCAACAAAACCCAATATATCCTTGGGGAGGAATCTTCCTCCCATCTATGTCTCCATCTGCCCAGGTCTCACTCCTACCTCTCCACTCCCCATAGGTAACCATGATTATTAATTTCTTGAATAAGCTTATGGATGTCATTGTGAACATGGAAGCAAATACAAATGTGTGTGCATGTTTATTCTTATTTTCTCCCTTTTTTATGCAAAAGGGGCACACTGAACCCCTTGCTCAGCAAGGCTTTTGTGGGGGGCTCATGCTAGTTTTGTGGACAAGAAATGGGGACTAGATGACACCATGCAATAGCAGGCATGTGACTACTTCAGTGCAGAACTAGAAGTGGAATCTAGCCTGCTGACTTTTTGTCCTAGGTCCTTCCCGTTTGTCTCCTGGATCTGTGTTTGCCCACACAAGGGAGTACTTAAGAAGCATTGGCAGGCTTCTGGGAAGCAGTTTGTCCTTGTAAGTGGTTTAAAACCTCACCTTGACAATCTTGCATATAGCACTCATTTGCTTGGTAAACCTTTTTTCTCATAGATCATGGAAAGGTAAACTTTGAGCCCTTTGCTCTTCAAGTGAATAAAATGGCCTAACTGTACTAAAGCTTTATCCCAGTGCTTGGTTCATAGTAGCCACTTCATAAAATAAACATTAGTTGAATCTGAATGATCACTACATTCCAATTTAATGTACTTGGATTAAAGAGATTCATCCTAAAGAGACAGGGAATTGGATCATTTCAGAACCAGTCCCGTGATGGTTTACTTTGGTAGCATAGCCCTTCTCAAGCCAGTGGTCACTTCCTATTCTCCTGCCAGAGAAGCAGAAACAACAGCTTTCTTTGTATTCAGTATTGATTTGGGGGATTGCATGGGTCCTTATGACTACCTGCTGGCAATATTCAGTCCAGCGCATGGACAAAGCTGACCTGGAAGAGCAGGGAGTCAAGGGAGGTCAAGAGACAGGGCAAGGCTTGGGGAAGGAGTGAGAAGTCCTCTTCCAGGGCCAACTTTCCCAATCCTCTTCTGGTTCTCTGAGACCACCCTCCTCCCCTTTTCATCTCTGAGGCATCCTTACCAAACAGCAGTTCCTCTGCTCTGACATCGGCTTGATCTTTAAGGCTTGCCTCAGTCAGATGCAAAAGAGGGTGATCCCATAGAGAAAAAAATATTTAGCTAAGATTCCAAAAGTGAGGGCAAATCCCTGGGAATTTGCTGTTTTTGAAGTAGACTACTACCACTCTCCACTATAGGTAATTTTAAGTTTGCAGTAGCTAATGGGCAAAGGAAAGAAGAGTAAAATAAAATTGTCATGGGATGGTAACTTCCTACATTAACCTGCAAGGTATCCACCTTTTCCAGGCCACCAGAGAATCTAAGTTCAAGTCCCCAAACAGGGAACTGGGCTCTCATCCTAATTCTTCCTTAAGGAGCCAACACAGTCATTACCTCCACATAAACATGTCAACTCTCCCCACGCGCAACCATGAGAAATCTCTCCCAGCCAGCCAGAATGGAAGGAACTAACAGCTTTTGGCAAGCAGCACGGTCTCACATACAGAAGGTGGCTGGCATGAGGCTTGCACTCAGGTCACAGCCTTCTATCGGCTGTCGTGGCCACCTCTTCCTAGAAGAAGCTCTCCCCAGGAAAAGCACAGAATTCTGCTGGGTCACAGAGCCCCTCAGGTGTCAGTTCCAGCCACTCCCAACACACTTCAGGTGGGCCACCTTGACTGCAGTGGTTATGATTGCTGGGTTTGAATCCTGTCTCTGTCACTTGATTCTGGATCATTATTTCAATTCTGTAAGCCTCAGTTTCCACACCTGTAAAACCCTGTCCCCTGGGGAAGTTGTGAAGAGTAGAGGAAATTATCCTTGCAAAATGCTTAGCAGAGTATTGGTAGGTTGTTAGTGCTGAATAAATAGTACTTATTTTATCATCATCATTACGGCTCTTTGGAATCCACAGCCTGTAAGGTGGGGGGCAGTACTGCAGCTTGAAAGCTAAGGGATGGGCGGTTGAGTTGCCCAAGGTCACTCTGCAGCCTTACTGCAATGAAAGTTCCATAGAATAGGGGTGTTGTCTGTTGTGTTCCCCAAACCTACAACAGTTCCTGACCTTCCATCACTATAAGCTGAATGAATGAATAGATGGATGGATGAATGAATGTAACTGAGAAGCTGGAGTTTGAGCCCAGGTCAGTGTGACTCCATGGTCAGATGCTACACACTTCCTGCTCCATTTCCACAGACACACACACATATCCTATTTGTCCTTGTAAAACCAGCATATTCCAAGAGTTTTCTGCCAGCTGCAGCTCATCATACCCATCTTTTCCCATCGTCCTTCCATAACACACACAGTCTCTGCCACACAATATAACAATTTATTAGACCTCAAACTCTCTGGGGGCAAAGACCACTTCTTAGCCACTGGACTTCTTAGTCTCAGTCTCAAATCAGGCTCTTAAGAAGCAATTTCTGGTTGGCTGGCTTCTTTTGGGGGAAAGGGAACCAATTGTCACCTCCTCCAGACCCTCGTATTTCCAAACCCTAGCCTTTCTTATAGGAAAGAGGAAGGGAACTCAACTTTACATTTGACATTTTTCACTGAGGAGCCACACTTGCCCTTGGCCTCCTAACCCAATCCCTTGCCTCGCTGTTGTCAGTTCTCCTATAAGCAAAGAAGCAAAACCTGGGGAGCAACAGGGAGGGATGAGCAGGGGTGACTCAACCGGGGAGGGATAAAACCACATACCACAGAGAGTGAAAACTCTGTGCTCAGCAAAGAGGAGAACTTACTCAGCATTTCCCCTAATCCTCCCTCCAGAAGCACGACTGCCAGGAAAGTTCACAGTGTACTATCTCCAGCTGGGAACCCGAAAGAAGCAGGAGGACTGTAGGCCACAGGTCCTGGGCACCATGTGTTTCCCCCGTTCCTACTCCTATTCTTCCCTCTCTGTCCAGCAAACCTGCTTGTTTCTGTCACCTGCCCTCCTGCCCTTGGGGTGACAATGGATGCCTTGAACACTCAGCAGAGGGATGCTCTTTCAGAGGAGGAAGAGTCTGTGCGATTGATCTGATGCCTGAGCAGGAAAATCACCCCTGAGAAGAGGCTCTGAGACAGAGGGTAGCCGTGGTTCCTACCCCTTATATATGTGGGGCTCCTGGCACATGCACACTTCTCCTCAAACTCTGTTTAGGAGAACAATGCTGGGTGTTGTCAGCCTCTCTCCTCCCTACATACTGCTCTGTCATCAGCCTGAGCACAATTTCCCCATGAAAGGCGTTAATCTGTCTCTCAATTAGATCAACTTTTTACATGTCTTTGATGGATGACAGTTTTTCAGTGTCAGAATCTAGAAATAAGAAATGGGGTGATGGGGACAAGTGAGCTCGGTGTGTCTCACCAGGATGTTCCCTCTTATTCCAGGTGTCCTGTCCCAGGTGCAGCTGCAGGAGTCAGGTCCAGGACCCATGAGGCCCTCAGACACTGCCCTCCACCTGTGCTGTGTCTGGGTTCTTTTTTTTACCAGTCAATATTATTTGAGCTGAATCCACCATCCCCTAGGCAACAGATTAGAATGGCTGGGGCACAGTTACCAGGAATACACATCATTATCACCAAGCTCATCATCAAGATCACCAAGGAATACACATCATGCACCCTTTACCCAGGTCTGCATCTCCATCAACAATGACTCAACCAAGAGCCAGTTCTTTCTGAAGCTCAGCTCCATGGCTGGCTAGGACACGGCTGAGTATTACTGTGAAAGACTCAGTGAGGAGGTGTCCTTGTGAGCCCTGACACAAAACTTGCTGTCAGGGCACTGAGGACCGCCAGCAAGACTCAGGACCACAAGGGGGACTCAAGACCACCAGGGGAAGAGCAGGTTGCAGGAAGCACAGGGCCAGCCCCAGAGCAGGTGTGGGTGGAGATGAGAGGCTGGTTTACTGCCAGGGTGTGGGGCTGCCTCTACATCTACATGTTTCCTCCAGGGACCCTCCCTTATTTCATGATGCTGTGCCTAGCTCTACGTCTCTGAAATACCACAGTTTTGTTGTACCAGGAGGAAACCTTCTTACAGGCACTAAATGCAGAACAATCCCTCTGCCAGTGGTCACCAGGGCCACAGCCCTGTGGAAGCTGAGTGGAACCCGGTGAGTCTTCTCCAGTCACACTCAGGACAGGGACCTCAGTGGGGTTCCCTGAAGAAAACAGTATTTAGGAATTCTAACCTCAGCCAAGAGAGAGGCTGGGCCAGGGTCAGGGTCACGTAGAACCTCACAGGTTTTATTTCTGACCCTTCTTCTGACACTAAAGTATGCAAATCAGTATCAGCGCTGATCAGGGGCTGCTTTTGCTCCTAGCACATTCTATTTCTTGTTAGTTGTTTTAGTTGTTGATTTTCCTTTTGCTGTTCCTGATCCCTGTAAAGTGGAGATGTGGTTCTTGCTGTAAAAAGTCCACTGCTCAAGCCCTTTCCCTGCAGCTCAGGTGGGGCTCAGACTGTGGCTCCTGCAGCCACGTGGGAGAGGCTGATGGGACTTCCTTCTCTCCCGTTGCTCAGAACCCTCCACTGTGTTGTGTAGAGACTCACTTGGGAATGCAAGTGGCCAATAGTTGTGAAGAGGATGAGCTTGTGTGGTCAAAATGGGATGTGGATATGGAATTTATCCTGTGCTGTTCAAGCTAACACAGGGTCACCTTCCCCCCAGTAGTGTTAGAAAGAGAGTGGGAAAGTTGTCAAAATCAAAATGGAGCCACTTGTATTAAAACTCTGACAAATGAAACTAGGAGTGACCATGAAGGAGGGTTCTTAAGCCCATATTCCTGATAACAAGAACTATCATAAATATACTCTGCTTAACCACAATCTTGGGAAGAAGACACCACCATCTTATAAAAAAATTACTTTTGCAAGGACATCATCCCAGAAACTGCCAGTTCAACCTTACACTGATGCCACCCTTGGTATTGATTCTACAACTACAGGATCGTTCTCTCAAAACAACTTTTGTAACCCATCCATTTTCACTTCATAAACCTGTGAATTGACATCCTGGAGTTACTGCTGCATTTGTTGATAACGTTAAATAATAAGGCCTTTTGACAATGTTTGAAGCTGCTTTTTTCTGATGTCTCTTCTAAAATAAAGAATTTCCAAGTTGATGACAATAAAAAGATAATTAGGAAGATTTGGTGGGAAGGCATCTTTAACATCCTGTTGAATGCTTCTGCATAGCACGTCAATCCCCTAGAATGCTTTGCTACATCTGCATTTAATGAATCGGAGTCTAATATTGAAGATGTAATTGAAAATAGGTGGGCTTTTGATGAATCAAGTCATACGGTGATAATGTTTGTGTCCTTGAGAAAGCAAACCCTGTGTTGTAAGTTTTAGCAGATGTACCTTCAGCAAAAAAGTTCATGTGTTTCTGAATGTTATGCAACTTTTAACTTAAGGATGCAACATATGATTCAGTTTTACTTAAAACTTTCCAGAAGATTTTTGGCAGTAAGGACAGTGCAGCATTTGAGTAACACTAAGGAGCTAAAAAGAGTTATTTTGTAATTGCTCCTGTGAGGTATGCACATCGCTCACTTAATATTGAAATTCAAATGCCACAGATGGGAAAATCAGAATAAGGAAAATTTTATGAACTGGCATGGCTGTAGTTTTTGTCAAGCAAGTAATTCATGTCTGCAAGAAAATAAATACAACAATAAAACACATTCAAATCCAGGGGGATGCTGACCTCTGCCCTCTATATTACAAGTACAAGGTGGTATCACATCCAAATTATTTTTCAGGCTCCAGGGTATAAAATGCTTTTGGACGGTGAAGTTAACACCTCTCCCCTAAGGTGTGGCTGAGGTATGTGGGGAATGCAGAGTTGTGTTCATGAAGAAGATTACATTATTGTTATCTGGAGACAGCTCCCCAGGGTGTGTCTCAGATGTCAGACATGGGTCTATAAGTCAAGCAAAGAGAACATGTTGAGTCCAAAAATCAGCATATTCTTAGAGGCACCCATTGCTCCATCACATGGGTGAGAAATTTTTGAGACTAGTGAAGTGTGAGTTCACAGTAAGTGATGCAGTTATCATATTTCCATGAACTTTCATTAACAAGACAAGGACTTCTCTAGATCACTCATGCACAAATATACAAAATGTATTTTTGCATTTGCGAGTGTCTAGAGAAAAAGAATCTGTTGAGAAAACTTCTTCAGGTTACAGAGATCTGTTTAAGTTGGAGATCTCACAGGAGTGTGTCTTTGAGTGAATACTGGCCTATTAATTAAATAGGTCAAAATTCCCTCTGTTGGAGTAGCCTTCCGATTATGTAGATTTCTTTATTGCTTCCTGAGTTGTGAAACATAAACCCAAGCATTGACTTACTGGAATTTGACTGCTGTGTTGATAAAATTTCTGATATGGTTTCTTCCAATGATTTAAGAATAGCTTTCCCCTTTCTTTACTCCAGGAAATGAATTTTCACAAGGTCTCAGGACACCATTTTTCAAGTGCTTTAGTTAAAGAGACTGACTTCTTGGTGGGCAGGCCTCTTCTAACAATGAGCTCACTTCTGCAAAGCATTCAGTCTGTGGCTTTATTGCCATGAATCATGAAGCTTTCACACTCCGATGCACTAAAAATAATGCCTCTTCAATTAAATATCTATTGGCATTGCCATGAATTGGCCACTCTTGGATATGTGTCCTATGTTATGAGCCCAACATGTCAGTGGACTGAGAATCCTCTATTAGCTACCTCTGTGTGTAGCACTGAGCAGACTAACAATCCTCAGAGTCATCTAACAAGGAGAGTCCTGAGGTTCATGGGATTCTTGGAGACATTCAGGTGAGTTGAGAGGAGAAACAGGATTGTGGGCTGCCAGCCATTTCAACAACAATGGGAGTCATTACCATCTAAGTGTAAAGTCTACATCATTCAAAATATCCTCCATGACAGGCTGATAAGAAGAAATCCAACCACACAATGGCTCCATGGCAACTCTTTAGTATACTTGGGAGTGAGGCTTTTTTCGGGAAGAAATATCCACTCCAGTGTGTCCCTGATGCTGCTCTCAACTAACGTAAACAGTGGACTGGAACCAAGATTCTCTGAGATTAATGTGAGGATTAATGCTGCTCCAATGTGTTTAAACAAGCATGTGGCAATTTAGATGAGCCTGGCTGTGTGGTTTGTTATATGTAAATCTGAACTAAATAAACAGAAAGGGCATGTCTGAACTAGTGTGAGGGTGAGAGATCTCATAGACCCCAAACTCATTTATATTTCCTCCTGGAACCTCCAGGTTCTTTGGGTGAAAATTGACATAGATCCTTTCCTGGATAAGTCATCAAAGTTCCTACTCTCTGAGAAATACACAGATAAATATATCCAGATAGAACATACAGGAGAAATACATATCTAGAACATTATCTATGTTGGCTAAGGTAGTCCATCTCCATTACAGACCCCTTCAAGCAGCCTTCCTTTATCACGAAAGTGGATAAAATTAGCCAATAGAGAAATAATCCTATAATGTTGTAGCCAGAAAAAGGAAAGTGTCAGTTCCATTTCTGGAGACTCTGTGTATAGGCCACAGCCCAGAGAAAAAAAGATGACTGAATTATTAAGATTCAATTGTAAGAACATATAATACTTCCAGGATGCACGTTTTGTTTTCTCAGCAGGATAGTTAATCTGGGTTAAAGATGAAAGTGTGACAATGCGCAGACTCTATCTGAGGAGAACATAGGAAAACTGAAACACAATGGCAGAGAATATGACAAGGACAGTAGGGAAATCTGAAGCCTCTGACATATATTTTTTGAAGAAAAGATATTGGCAAATCCATTGACCTCAGATTCTTTTATCATAGGGCATTTGCAGGGTTCCTAGCTGAGAAAAAAAATGCATGCACTTGGCCGGGCACTGCGGCTTACGCCTGTAATCCCAGCACTTTGGGAGGCCAAGGCAGGTGGATCACGAGGTCAGGAGATCGACACCTTCCTGGCTAACACGGTGAAACCCCATCTCTACTAAAAAATACAAAAAATTAGCCAGGCAGGGTGGCGGGCGCCTATAGTCCCAGCTACTTGGGAGGCTGAGGCAGGAGAATGGCGTGAACCCGGGAGGCAGAGCTTGCAGTGAGCCGAGATCGTGCCACTGCATTCCAGCCTGGGCGACAGAGCAAGATTCCATCTCAAAAAAAAAAAAAATATTCATGCACTTCCCAAGTCTCCACTTGTATTCTATTTGCCTTAGATCTCTAAGACAAAAAAGTGGGTGAAGGATATGAACAGACACTTCTCAAAAGAAGACATTTATGCAGCCAACAGACATGAAAAAATGCTCGTCATCACTGGCCATCAGAGAAATGCAAATCAAAACCACAATGAGATACCGTCTCACACCAGTTAGAATGGCGATCATTTAAAAGTCAGGAAACAACAGGTGCTGGAGGGGATGTGGAGAAATAGGAACACTTTTACACTGTTGGTGGGGCTGTAAACTAGGTCAACCATTGTGGAAGACTATGGCGATTCCTCAAGGATCTAGAACTAGAAATACCATTTGACCCAGCCATCCCATTACTGGGTATATACCCAAAGTGTTATAAATCATGCTGCTATAAAGACACATGCACACGTATGTTTATTGTGGCACTATTCACAATAGCAAAGACTTGGAACCAACCCAAATGTCCATCAATGATAGACTGGATTAAGAAAATGTGGCACATATACACCATGGAATACTATGCAGCCATACAAAAAGATGAGTTCATGTCCTTTGTAGGGACATGGATGAAGCTGAAAACCATCATTATCAGCAAACTATCGCAGGGACAAAAACCAAACACCGCATGTTCTCACTCATAGATGGGAATTGAACAATGAGAACACTTGGACACAGGAAGGGGAACATCACACACCGGGACCTGTCGTGGGGTGGGGGTAGTGGGGAGGGATAACATTAGAAGATATACCTAATGTAAATGACGAGTTAATTGGTGCAGCACACCAACATGGCACATGTATACATATGTAACAAACCTGCACGTTGTGCACACGTACCCTAGAACTTAAGGTATAATAATAAAAAAAAATAAGCCTAGGCCTAGTGTCAGTGTAGGAGGCAATTTTTATAGGCTAGAAACTAAGAAGAAAGAAAAATATGTGTTATTGGAATAGTAGATACAAAGTTGGTTTTATTCTGAGTGTATTTGAACCTGCAGGTATTCTTAGATGTAACATTCAACTGCAAGAGCTCAAGGACGAAACAAGGCACTCCCAAAATCCTACAAGTTTTTGTATTCATTTCGTGTCCACTGACTCAGGAAATGTGAAGTTTCAGAGAAGGTGTTCCACTCTGTGTCATAGAATATTTGCTTTGGGTCTCCCTGTAGAGTTAAATAGGTTTAATAAGGCTCTTCAATTCTTAAAAGACATGGTGTCAGCAGTACATTGTGTCACTGAAGGAGTATTCAGTACATTGTGTTACTGAAGGAGTATTCTAAACCAGGACACACCCACTTCATGCTGAGCTAGAGACTGTGGGGTAAAATGCCTGTGAGCTACAACAGAAACCTCATGGCAAGGCAAGGGCTCGGCTGGAGGGGGCACTTGGGAGCCACCAAGCACAAGTTCCAGCCCCAGAGCAGGTGCACAGGAGGCCGGGGAGGAGGTTTTCTCTCAGGGCCTTGGTCTTCCTTTGTCAGGAAAAAAACAATCTAAAATAACTGTTCAAGAAGTAGCTGACGTGCTTTAAATATTCTAGTACATCCAAACCATTCATATAACTTAAGATAATGAGAGCTATTTTTTAAAGTGAGTTTCTAGGACTGTAATATCTTAATAGTGAGAATATGAAGGATGGGCATGTTTTTACTAATTCAATGGGTACCGATTAGTTGAAGAAACTATATTCCTATGAATAAGAAATTCAGATTTCAGTGTTAAGTAATGTTGCCTACATTGTGTGAATGACAGGGCAGTGATGGATCTGAGGGTGTGGCAGGTGCACAGACCAAGTGAGTCAAAAATCAATATGTAAAGATACAGATCTATGGATATGAACTGGAAGTATGTAAATACTTTACAAAAATCTAATAAATGGAGTTGAAAAGTAACCCAAAATTATTCAAAACACAAATTCATTGACAATTATTTTGAGAGTAGAGAGTTCATAAAGAACTTCAAACTCCTGTTACCTCTTCTGATTCCCATTGTTCCTGAGATGAGAAAATCAGCTGTAATTATGCATCACAGGGCAAATACGTAAAACAAGAGCGTTTCTATTGAAGATCCTGGGGGATCAGGACATGAGGCACGTGCTGGAGACACTGTCTCAGGAGGGCCCAGTAGATCTCAGAGGGACATCAGCAGTCACCTTTCCAGAGTCACCAGTGAGCTGTGCTGGTGCCTGACAGGTCCAGGATAGGGCCAAGGCACGTGCTCAGTGTCATAGACAGTGATGGTCCCAAAAATAATCCAGGCGGCCTCTATACTAATCACATGTAGGTTCACAGTGAGGAGCCTGTTCTGAGAGGGCTTACTCTTCAGTGAAAGGACCTCTGTACACAAATGTTGGTAAATAGAGCAGGGCACGCATTTTCTCAAGTAAGATTAGGGCTTAGACCATTTGCATCTCACTCTTGTAAGGCTGATGTGTCATTTATCTTCCCTTTCTTATCATGTATCAGGCTTTGAGCTATGAAATCGTCTGTCTCATGAATATGCAAATAACCTGAGATGCACTGAGGTAAATATGGATGTGTCTGTGCCCTAAGCGCATCATCCAACAACCACATGCCTCTTCTGCAGAATCTCCTTAGAGCTCAGTGCCTCACCGTGGACTGGACCTGGAGGAACATCTTGGTGGCAGCAGCTACAGGTAAGGGACTCCCAAGTCCCAGTGATGAGAAGGGGATTGTGTCCATTTCTGAAAGATCTCATCCACTACTGTATCCTCCCCACAGGTGCGCACTCTCAGGACCAGTTGGTGCAGTCTGGGGCTGAGGTGAAGAAGCCTCTGTCCTCAGTGAAGGTCTCCTTCAAGGCTTCTGGATACACCTTCACCAACAACTTTATGCACTGGGTGTGACAGGCCCCTGGACAAGGACTTGAGTGGATGGGATGGATCAATGCTGGCAATGGTAACACAACATATGCACAGAAGTTCCAGGGCAGAGTCACCATAACCAGGGACACGTCCATGAGCACAGCCTACACGGAGCTGAGCAGCCTGAGATCTGAGGACATGGCCGTGTATTACTGTGCGAGAGACACAGAGTGAAAACCCACATCCTGAGAGTGTCAGAAACCCCAGGGAGGAGGCAGCTGTGCTGGCATGGAGGAGATGACAAAGATTATTAGATTGAAGACTTTCTCAGAAAATAACATTAAGTCACTAAAGAAAAGGAACAATATAAATGTGTATTTGAGAAATTTTAATTATTTGAAAGATTTTTCATACAACATTTATTCTGTAAGCAAATTTCAGGGATTGAATTAATAAAACTGATACAGAACTTCCTTTGTAGGTATCTTTGTAAACATCAATTTCTGAATCACTGTTGTAAATATTTTGGAACACACAAATGAATCAAATTTTAACTCTACTTTTATCTCTATTTTAAAAATGCCCCCCAAAACCTCATTTTGTGCATGTAGCATTTTGAATTCCCACCATCAATGCATGATGGTTCTTGATTTTCCACATTCATATTGCCATTTTTCATTATGAGAATTGTGTGTTTTAAACATCCTAATAGGTGAGTAATGGTATCTAATTTTTATTTACACGTACATGTCCCTAATAAAAAGTTCCTACTTAAAAATGTTCAAATAATCTTTGGTGAGGTACCTTGCCTGAGATCTAGTTCATTTTTAAATGCATTGTTTTCTTTTGATTAGTTGTAAGTTAACTTGCATATTAATTATAAAAGTGATTTAACAAACTAAAATAACTCATTTAACAAATACGTGACTTGGAAGTATTTTCTCCAAGTCTGTGGCTGTCTTTTACACCCTTAGCGTGTATTGCAGAAAAATATGTGTGCATGTTTATACCAATTTAGATTTTAAAAATGTAAAATTTTATTCATCCACAGATCATGTCTTTGGCATTATATCTGAAATACCATTATAAAATACAATAATAGTGATTTTTTTTCCATGTCTCTAATCTCAGGCCACAATCAACTCATGAGTGTTTAAGCTTCACTCACTTGATTACAGGACTATCAAGCTAACATATTTGGAATACTTCTGCAAAGAGATGTGTTCTTCTTCCCATTATTTATTTATTTAATAATCTATTAATATCCGTATTAGTTTACGGATGTCTATTTCATGCTCTGAAGATGATCCTTGCTACATCATTCATTTTATTGTTCATGTCACCACAGCTTTATTAGGTGCTAGGAGCTCATTTAGTTTGGATCCTGCATCCTTACAGCACACCTCATCCTTTTGTTTTTGAACACTTCCCTGTTTCCTGATATTACAATTAATTCTAAGTTCATTTTCTACATTATCTTTCTCATACATAGGATTAGCCGTTTTTCCTAAAGATTGATTATTTCCGATGTTAAAGAATAGTGTTAAAATTAAAAATTGTGATACTGGATATGTGTGTTGTTAAGGTGTTATAAGTACTTCTAGGACCTCTCAACCTATATGTCTAGTAAATGTACATGTTTATATGAACCCATGTTTATGGACTCATTGAAACTACTTATGTATCTAATTGTATGTAAGTTTATTACATTAAAAATGAGAACACACTGGTCTCTCCACCCAATTATGCTATTTTAGATAGTATTATAAACAATTTTAGAGCTACTTGCTTTGCATAATGATCCACTACTATGGATAAACAGATAGAAGATAGATGCCTACATACATACATACATACATACCTTGATAGAGATATAGTTGGACACATAAATACATAGATGGATAGATAGAGTTACAGATATATTTTAGTTTTTATGCTACTTTTTTCTTTGCCTTTACTTCCTATGTTATATTAGTCAGGTCTCTAGGACTTAGGACTGCATTTACAATTCCTTCCCTTGTCCATTTTGATGTGTTCTAGAAGATGTGAGAATCCTTTTGTGTCACTTCAAAGTCAGATCACTTCAAAGTCATGCACTACCCTTGCAATAAATGTATTTGTGTATGTCTTTGCCTTATTGACAAGCTCTGCTGAGTGCAGTTATTTCTGCCATCTGAGCTAACTTTACACTTGGTAGAGAAATATATTCTAAATGGAGGTTTCCACTATTCATTTAAATTACTAATTCATAACCTCCAGCTTAATTATTGAGGTATAATCTATCAGAGATGATATTAGATCAAAGGTTTCCAATGAAATCTAATATAAGGGAAGTGAACAAATTTTCCTAATTTAGGTAAAATAACTCTGAGCCCATTCTTAGTATCCAGCCATGTCTCCTATCTATCACACTGAATCCCATACTAACTTTGACCTAACTTGGGACTTGGAAGCTTCAAATACGACGTTTTGATTGCAATGCCTCTAATTCAGGATGTGTGGTTATTTTAGCCAAGAGTAAAGAAAAGCAAATTTAACTCACTAAAAATGAGGAAGATTAAAACCTAATGAAATGGAAACTGGGATATGAGTGGCTCCAGACTTGGCTATTTTAAGAGTCTATGTGCCCAGGTGATTTCTTTTCTCAATTTTACACACAGGCACACCCAAAACATCAGCTTCATCTCCCATTGACTCTCATCATCTCTTTCTTAGAATGTTGACTTCCCGCTGCATCCATGTTGCCACAAAAGACATGATTTTATTCTTTTTCTATGAATGCATAGTGTTCCATGGTGTAAATGTACCATATTTTCTTGATCAAATTCACCATTAATGGACACATAGGTTGGATTTATGTCTTAAGTATTAAGAGTAACATAGCAATGAACATGTAAGTGGGTGTATTTTTTGGTAGACTGATTTATTTTCTTTTGTGTATATACCCACATATGAGATGGCTGGACCAAGTGGCAGCTCTGCTTCAAATACTTTTCAAATCTCCAGACTGCTTTCCACAGTGCTTGGACTAATTCACATTCCACCCAACACTGTACAAGTGTTTCCTGTTCTCCGCAGCCTCACTCCAGACTGCTTGCCACCGTGCTTGGACTAATACACATTCCACCCAACACTGTACAAGTGTCTCCTGTTCTCTGCAGCCTCACTCCAGACTGCTTTCCACAGTACTTGGACTAATTCACATTCCACCCAACACTGTACAAGTGTTTCCTGTTCTCCGCAGCCTCTCTCCAGACTGCTTTCCACAGTGCTTGGACTAATTCACATTCCACCCAGCACTGTACAAGCGTTTCCTGTTCTCCGTAGCCTCACCAGCATCTGTTTTGTTTTTTTTTTAATTTTTAGTAATACTGATTTTGACTGGTGTGAGACAGCATCTCATTGTGGTTTTGATTGATTGGCATTTCTCTGATGATTAGTGACGTTAAACGTTTTTTCATATGTCCTGGCCACTTTATGTATTTTTGAGAAGTTTATGCTCATGTCATTTGCCTATTTTTAAAATGTGATTATTATTATTATTTTTGCTTGTTGATTTACATTTCTTATAGAATCTGGATATTGGACCTTCATCAAATGCATAGTTTGTGAATAGCCTCCCCCATTCTGTAGGATCTCTGCTTACTCTCTTGATAGTTTCTTGGCTCTGTAGAAGCTCCTTAGTTTTATAAGGTGCCACAGACAGAATTTTGATTTGTTGCAACTGCTCTTGGGGACTTTGCCAAAATTTTCTTGCCCAAAACAATTTTTAGATGAGTATTTCTTAGGTTGTATTCCAAGATTTTTATAGTTTGAGGTCTTATACTTAAATCTTTACTCCATTTTTTGTTGATTTTTGTTAATGGTGAAAGGTAGACATCTAGCTTCCATCTTCTGCATATGGCTAGCCAGTTATCCCAGCACGATTTATTGAATAGTGATACATTTCCTCATTGCATGTTTTTAGTGTCTTGGTGTAAGATCTGATGGTTGTAGGTGTGCAGCTTTATTTCAGAATTCTCTATTCCCTTTCACTCGTCTATGTGTCTCTTTTTGTATAAGTACCAAGCTATTTTGGTTCCTGTGGCTTTGTAGCATAATTTGATGTCTTCTAGTGGGATACCTTTGAATGTATTCTTGTTACTTAAGATTGCTTTTGTTTTTAAAACTCTTTTTTTGATTCCACATAAATTTTAAAAGTTTTTTTTCTAATGCTTTAAAAATAATGTTGGTAGTTTTATAGTAATAGCATTGAATCTGGTAATTTATTTGGGCACCATAAAAGTTGATAGTCATAAATGACTTCATCAAGGAGTTAGAAAGTTCTCAAATTAGTAATCTTAACCTTGCACCTAAAGGAACTAAAATAATCTCAAAGCTAGCACAGAAAAGGAAAATTAGAGAAGAACTGAATGAAATTCAGATACAAAAATGCATACAAAATATCAATAAGCCCAAGAGTTTCTTCTTTGTAAAATAAAGATTGACTGATAGACACCTGTCTGGATTTAGAAAGATAAAGAAAAAGAAGATCCAAATAAGTACAATCAAAAGTGACAAAGGGGATATTACAACTGATCCCAGAAGAATGCACAAATTCTCAGACTACTATAAACTTTATGCACACGTGTTAGAGAATCTGGAGGAAATGAGTAAATTTTGGGAAGCACAAAATCTCCCAATATTGAATCAGGGAGAGATTGAAACCCTAAATACAGTGAAACCAACTTCTAAAATTGAGTCAATAATAAAGACCCAACCAAGAAAAAGAAACCTGGACAAGAAGAATTCACAGCTGAATTCTACCCGACATACAAAAAAGAACTGATGCCAATTCTACTGAAGCTACACAAAGAAAATCAAGGCATAGAGGCTCCTTCTCAACTAAATCTGTGAAGCCAGCATCAGCCTTATACCAAAATATGGCAGAGACACAATAAGAGATGAAAGCTCAAGACAAATACTTCTCATGATCATAGGCTTAAAAATTCTCAATGTAGGAAATCAAATCCAGTAGTTTATCAAAAAGTTAACACACTGCAATCAAGTAGGCTTCATTCTGCAGATGCAAGGCTGCTTTAACCTATGCAAAGCAATAAATGTGATGCTCTACTAAACAGAATCAAAAGCAAAAACCATGTGAGTATCCCAGCAGATGCAGGAAAAAAAGCTTTCAATAAAATCTAACAATGCTTCATGATAAAAACCCTCAAAATTATAGACATTGAAGGAGCACACCTCAATCTGATGAGCCGTCTATGACAAACCCACAGCCAACATCATACTGAATGGGCAAACACTGGAAGCATTTTCCTTAAGAACAGAAACAAGACAAGGATGCCCGCTCTCACCACTTCTATTCAGCCTAGTACTGGAAGTATTCACCAGATCAGGCAAGAGAAAGAAATAAAAGGCATCCAAATAAAAGAAAAAGAAGAATGCAAACCCTCTGTTTTCACTGATAATATGATTCTATATGTAGAAAATATTGAAGGCTCTGCCAAAAGTCTCCTAGTATTGATACATTAGTTTAGGAATGTTTCAGGATATAAAATCAATGTACAAAAATCACAGTAACATTTCTAGTCACCAACAACGTTCTGGCTGAGAGTGGAATCAAGAACTTGCTCTCCCAATAGCCACCAAGACAGTGGAATACCTAGGAATAGAGCTAAGCCAATGAGATGAAATATTTCTACTAGAAAAACAGCAAAACACAGGTGAAAAAAATCAGAGATAAAACAAATAGATGGAAAAATAAACATTCCATGCTTATGAATTTAAACAATAAATATAAGAAAATGTTTTAAAATTTGTGATTAATTCTATGTAGCAATGCCATTTTTTTCAACATTTGCAGAATATTGTTGCTGGTAATAGCGGTTCAGCATTTGATAATGGAAATACCTTACAGAATCACTTTATAACAATTGCTTCCTGTAGTGGCTGTGCTTCAGTTACCTGATGAAAACATCGGCATGTCACAGGTTGAAAACATAAAACATGTTTATCAACTGAGAAGGCTGTAGGCTTTTGTCAAGTAATTACTTCAAGTCATTCAGAGAAACAGTAGACAGTAAATGAAACTTGTTCAAATTCCATGGAGAGTCAAAGCTGAAGAAAATCCTACTAAAAGTGTCCAAAGGCCCCCAAGGCTCAGTTCCTCGGCAAGTCCCACCTTCACAGGTTTTCCAGAATTTTGTTTTTAACTGATTTACACTAAGTGAAGTAGATTACCAGGAGTTTTCCATTATTTTAACTTAAAATCGGGGGCTAAGTGTTGTTATTTTGTAAAGACATCTTTGAATCTCTCAGGAAATTTACCTCCTGAGGGTTCAGCTAAGATCCCACTCTAGGTTAAGATTACATGTTTGGCACAACGAACTGGTACAAATCTTACTTTAGCTTTCATGTTATCTATTTTTCTGCACTGACTTCCACCTTTTTATTAGTCAAGTATATGGGGTGGAAGAGTGCTTCTAAGAGGTCCTTAACTTCCCCATTTCAATGGATTTTCAAGAAGACATGAGAAACCACTTTGTTTGCAAAGCATCCCAAAGCCATGTCCTGCTCCAGAAACGTGATCTCATTTCCTGGTCGTTTCTTAACTGACACACTGTAATCAGTGCATCTGGGCGAATTTCAAATGAGGTGAAGAAATGTGTCCTAAAGTAAAGCTAACATTGTAATAGGAATTCCTGTTTTAAAACATTTAGTTTTATTATTGGGAGGATCTATCAACATATAACAGTTGAAGTTTCTCAACAGGAGTTTAATAAATATAAGGAATGTACAGAAGTGTTTCCTAATTAAAATAAAACATAGTGATTACCTAGGCTGTGAATGCAATCTTGGTAATCTGCTATGTCCATGCCCATCACTCTGTGCCTCGCAAACTGATTTTGACCTTAGCAGAAATGAGGTTAATTTTCAAATTAGTAATTTTTTTCCAGTTTATTTAGATGATTATGAATGACTATTTTAGCAGAAAGAGAATCAAGGAAACTTGAACTAAATAACCAGAATTTAAAATGACAAACAATTCAACAAGACACCAGGATGTGAGTGGCTCCAGGCCCAATTAATTCAAAACTTTATCTGCCCAGGTTCTGTATTTTCCCAAAATTACACTTCTCCATTCCACCTTCATACCACAGTCGACTCCCACCCTGTAAGACATGGTGACAGCATTCCCAAAGGTCATGTGCAATTCTGAAAATGGAATAAGCAAGGTGAGGAGATGACAGTTTATATTCTCCTCTGAGGAGGAAGAATTGCCTCAACAGACCACTTCTCCTGCATCTGTGACTAGAACTATGTCACAGGCACACATGGAGCAAAATCCCTCAAGGGCATAATATGGTAACATTAATCAGGGTGATCATTTTTAATACTATAAAATTCATAGATGACACTGCATTCCAGCCTGAGAGACAGAGCAAGACCCTGTCTCTAAGAAAAAAAGAACAAATTAATAGATACTGATACCAACATTTTAGATAATGAAATTTTCATAACCTAATTTTAAATACACTCACATCATTACATAAATCTTCCCAGAAATATTCCTAGTCATGTTGAGTTTCATCAGCTTTTCCAGTGTTCAAATCTAGAAATCCAATAGAGTCTTGAGGATAAATCAAAATGAAGGCAGTGAAACTGGTATCTATTCAGCATCTGTTAACTCAGGAGGACTCAATACACCCTTGCACACTGCTGCTTCTCCGAATGGCTCACAAGGATTCCAGCTCACTCTCTAGCCTCCTCAAACATCTGGCCCCCACTTGCCCTAAGTTCACTGTCTGCTCTTAGTCTGTGCTCTGAAGTTTTCGCAGAGGTGAAAGTGAGCTGTCAGATGGAACTTCCCTCTCACCTCAGCGTGGAATTTACTACTACATTTAACTATCACTCTTTCCATAATGGTTGATTTCTCTTGGTCTGTTCATTACAGATCAAAGGCATCTGATTTGAATCTTTATTTCTTTGCATTTGTCTCCATGACAATTTTGGGAGGTTTTACCGCCAGCTCTATAACATGATGTAGTAACATGACACATTTGTGCTTAACAACACCTACAAATTCAGAAGCCCTTCGGTTCTCTTCCCGGCAAATATAGTTGCTTCCTTTCTGTGTATGGGCACATCCTGGAAACCCGTACACACCCACATAGATATATACATGCCTATGACATTTTCTTCTCTGTAAGTGAAAATTAATCTCAATTTCATACGAAGTTCATCATTTCCCTGAAGGTGAAGGTAGGTCGTTTTGGTCTGTTCAAACAAAAGGCCCAGACACCAGCTGGTAAGTGAGGAGCTACCCTGCTTCTAGATGTTGGATCTGTCTCTTCCCCTTTGCTTTACCACAGAAGATTGGCCACTTGTCCAGGTCCCAAGAAGAGAGTCCAGGTTTGTCCTGATAATATGACTCACCCAACTTCTGATAACTCTACTGCTACACACATTCATGGAGGTAGCCTATTAATTACATAATTGACTAAACAAACACCAAATACCCACATTGCAATACCCCATACCCAAGGGTATGTTCATGCAATTCAATGAAGGAAAAGGCTTTTCAGAGACAGATAGATCAGGCTAGATTGGTCAATATATGGGTGAAAACACTGGATTTGAATGTATTTGTTTTCCCCCATGTCGCATGTGAGACCTGTCAGGACCAGGGTTCCTTGTGCACTCAGAGGTGAGGGCTCACAGAGTTCCTCTCTGGTTTCCAGGAAAGGTAACTGCAGTAATCTTGGTGATGAGAATATCCTCCAGTGCTGGCCTATTATAGAGTTTACATATGAAATTGTCACTGCAATTCACAATCTACTCTTTCACACAGAAGTGTACAGAGGTCAGGCCACATCCTCAGGGTCACACATTGAGAATGATGAAGATATGTCCCACGAGTCTCTCCTAAGGTCTCAGAAAGAATTCCAGGACTCAAAAGGTCTCAGAGGGCAGCTCCCAGTGCCTTAGTTAAAATGGTGGCTCAGGCCTGTAATCCCAGCACTTTGGGAGGCCAAGGTGGGTGGATCACCTGATGTCGGGACGTTGAGACTAGCTTGGCCAACATGGTGAAACCTTATACTAAAAATATAAAAATTAGATGGGGGTGGTTGTGCGTGCCTGTACTCCCAGCTACTTGGGAGGCTGAGGCAGGAGAATCACTTGAACCCAGGAGGTGGAGGTTGCGGTAAGCTGAGATCGGGCCACTGCACTCTAGCCTGCGCAAAGGAGCAAAAGTTCATCTAAAAAATTTATTTTAATTTAAACACTTTTAAAAAGTGGCCCACTCCCTAGAACAGAGAGATTCCCTCTAAACATGATGGATGTCCTGAACTATAAATTACATTAAGTGAATCCTGGTGTGTCTGAACTCACATGATTATTACATTAAGCTGCTGTTCCAATCTACTTCCTCACCTGGGAAAAGAGGAGCCAGGACATGGCTAGTTGAGGCCCCAGGAAGAGAACTGAGTTCTCAAAGGGCAAAGCAAGCATCCTCATCCCAGGGTGAGCCTAAAAGACTGGGGCCTCCCTCATCCCTTTTCACCTCTTTATACAAAGGCACTACCTACATGCAAATCCTCGCTTAGGCACCCACAGGAAACCACCACACATTTCCTTAAATTCAGGGTCCAGCTCACATGGGAAATACTTTCTGAGACTCATGGACCTCCTGCACAAGAACATGAAACACCTGTGGTTCTTTCTCCTCCTGGTGGCAGCTCCCAGATGTGAGTATCTCAGGGATCCAGACATGAAGATAGGGGAGGCTGCCTCTGATCCCAGGGCTCACTGTGGGTCTCTCTGTTCACAGGGGTCCTGTCCCAGGTGCAGCTGCAGGAGTCGGGCCCAGGACTGGTGAAGCCTTCGGAGACCCTGTCCCTCACCTGCGTTGTCTCTGGTGGCTCCATCAGCAGTAGTAACTGGTGGAGCTGGGTCCGCCAGCCCCCAGGGAAGGGGCTGGAGTGGATTGGGGAAATCTATCATAGTGGGAGCCCCAACTACAACCCGTCCCTCAAGAGTCGAGTCACCATATCAGTAGACAAGTCCAAGAACCAGTTCTCCCTGAAGCTGAGCTCTGTGACCGCCGCGGACACGGCCGTGTATTACTGTGCGAGAGACACAGTGAGGGGAGGTGAGTGTGAGCCCAGACACAAACCTCCCTGCCAGGAGGCGGAGGGCGCGGACGCAGGTGCTGCTCAGGACCAGCAGGGGGCGCGGGGCCCACAGAGCATGAGGCCGGGTCAGGAGCAGGGGCAGGGAGGGCGGGGCTTCCTCATCTGCTCAGTGGTCTCCCTCCTCGCCAGCACCTCAGCTGTCCCCAGGGCTCCTCTTTCTTTATTGTTTGTGGTTCTGCTTCCTCACATCCTCACTGCAGGCAAGAAAGAAGGGAGAAATTTCTCTGTTTACCATTAAGGTTTTAACAGTCACTGGCACCTTTTTTTCAACAAATTCCCACAAGGCCCATTTTACCTTCTTGACAAATAAAATATTTCAAGGCTTCTCACTATCCCTTGATTGACGTCATTGGCTGCATCGTGTCCTTCTCTTAAATTCATATGCTGAAACCCCAATCCCAGTGGCTCTGTATTTGGAGTGAGGGATTTTAAGAGGGCAAATAAGTTAACTGTGGCCATAAATGTGGGACCCTAATCCAGTAGGACTCTTGTCCTTATGGGAAGTGGAAGACATCAGAGACCTCTCTCTCCACATGCACACAGAGGAGAGGCCATGTGGGGATGCACTGCATGAGAAGGTGGCCCTTTGCAAGCCTGGAAGAGGCCTCTCAAAAAACAAAATACTATCCCTTTCTGCACCCAGATCTTGGACATCAAGACTCCAGAACAATAAGAAAATTAATATTTGTTATTTGAAACAACCTAGTCTGTGGTATCTTCTGATGGAAAGCCAAGCGGATTCACAGATACAATTGTGTTAGCTCTGTCTCCTGGAGGGAGAAACAGCCCACTGAGGCTGGACACATCTCTCAGATTATTTTTATAAAGAAAAATAGATCCAAGATGAAAACCCCACCACATTTCTGCTGAGTCATTCACTTAGCAGGCGTCTCTGAGATCAGCCCTGGGGGCTGTGTTCTAGGTCATGTCTCTCACTTTCCACCATGAGAATCCATGTAGATAATGAGAACCAGCCAGATGGAGTCCTGATCCCGGCCCACCTTCTGCTGCCCCAAGTATCCCAAAGAAAACCACTCCAGCATCACCCCTGTGTCTTCTACTCTCTAAAATCCCACTAAAGCTGACCCTAAACCAGGAGCTATTTGGGGCTGGACTCTTGTTCTCTTCTTCTTAGTCTTCCATAAGGTCCAGGTGCCGAGTAAAGCCTCAGTAAAGATTGAGCTTCAGTTCCCCTAATCCGCAGCATTCCCTTACATCCTTGTCATGCATCTGTCCTCTGTGGGCGCCCAGGGCAGGTTACACAGGAATTGCCTGAAGCTGGCCTCAGCTGATGTGCTGAGACCACGGGTCATGCACACGTATGATTCCAGGTCATGCGGGCTCTACTGCAGGACAGACCTGTGTCCTGTGGGGCACAGCCACCTGCTGATCCCGGGCCTCCTCTAATAACTCACACACCTGGTGTTTGTGTATGTCCAGATGGCCCCATGAGCACAGCACACTAGGGTGGCCAACCTCACAGGTGGTGCCGTCAGATGGTGGACAGAAAATGGAATGGACAGGCTGGTCACTCCCATCATCAGTGATTTCCCAGTGAATTTTAAATAAATTAAACAAAATTAACAACAAAGGGGAAGGATATGTACCTGTATCTGGGAGGTATACAGGGTCCTAGAACTGTGCTGGGAGTGGGTGTGAAAGGCCCTTTTGGGTGGAAAGCCCTCCGGCCTGAGTGAAAGCTGAAGGAATGATCACTGTGCAGGTGGAGGCTGATAGGCAGCTGGCAGGGTACATTTCCTGAAGCTGTTCCTGGGTGCATGATGGTTGGATGGCCCGTGGTGATGAGGGCTGGACTCACATAGGAACAAGGAAATTATCCCATGGGAATGGCAGAAAAGAAAACGGAGATGGACACCCCTGGAGACAGCTTATTAGAATTGGTGGAGGAAAAATAGAAATTTATTCCAATGACCCCAGCATTGTCAGCTAAATATGAGTTGCATTAATAGACAGAATTATGAAAGGAAGGGAGAAGGAGTTTATGGAGGGAAAAAACAGAAGAGAAATTAAAATTAAAAACTATGCAAATCTATCAATTGGCAGATAACAGAGTGGAGCTGATGCAGCTACTTCCTTGTTCAGGAAACCTGCCAGAGACACTTGGCATTCCTGTAAGGCCGGCCTAGTGGTGATGAACTTGTCGACTTTTTACTTTTTTGGGAAACTTCTCAAACATCCTGCATTACTGAAGAAAAGCTTTAATCCCTGTAAGATATTTATTTGGAAGTTTTTTGGCTTTTTTTTTCAGCAACTTGAATAGAATCATGCACATTTTGATATTTGGGTGAACAACAGGCCACATACATGACAAAGGTCTCATTAGATTATAATACTGTATTTTCACTGCATTTTTTCCATGCTTAGATATGTTCATCTGTATAAACATCTACTATGGTGATTCAGCTGCCCACAGTATTTAGTACACTTACATGACATACAGATTTGTTACCTAGGAGCACTATGCTATCCCACACAGCCTGGGTGTAGCAGGGTATTTCATGTAGGTTTGTGTAAACACACTCTATGATCCTTGCACAATGACAAATTGCCTGAGGACACATTGCTCAGACGTATCCCTACTGTTTTTCATTTTTTTTTAGATGGAGTCTCACTCTGTCACCCAGGCTGGAGTGCAGTGGCACAATCTTGGCTCACTGCAACCTCCACCTCCGAGGCTCAAGCGATTCTCCTGCCTCAGCCTTCTGAGGAGATGGGATTACAGGCATGTACCACCACGCCCAGCTAATTCTTTTTTTTCTATTTTTAGGAGAGATGGGGTTTCACCATGTTGCCCTGGCTGGTCTTGAACTCGTGACCTAGGTGATCCACACTCTTTGGCCTCCCAAAGTGCTGGGATTACAAGCATGAGCCACTGCGCCTGGCCAATGTATCCCTACTGTTAAGCCACAAATCATTGTATCTCATCTCTCTCCCTTTTTTGTCCCTGTTAATACTTTCATGTTGTTCGTGCATTCTTCCCCTAGCTCAGTGAACATATTTATAAGGTTTACTTTGAATTTTCTGCTAGGTAATCAATATATCTCCTTTTAATTTGTGGCAGTTTCTAGTGCTTTTTTTTTGTTAAACAATTTGGGCCACTTTTTTCTGTTTCGTGATTATTATTATTATTTTTTTTACTTTCTCTGTTGCTTTCTCCTCATTAGAAGGAAAAGCTACCATAATCACTCTTCACAGAATATGCTCAGGGAAAATGCCATCACCTATCAACCCAGGCTGTCATTGTGGCATCTCTTAAAACTTCATAATGGTCGAAATTTTTTTTGGTTGTTAGTGGCACTCAGACCTATAGAGGATTTTAAGTTTTGCTCCTACTCTAAATTAGATGGCATTGAAATTCATCCTGCAGGCAGTCTCTGATAAAGTGGAGGAATTGGACAAAGTTTTGTTATGCATGTGGTTCATAAAAATAATATGAGTTTAAGGTTTTCTCAACCAAGTGCTACATACTGATACTTTATAATCACTTCTTTGAATCTGTCTTGAGTTTATCCTCCGAAAATTTAGATCAGAATATAAACCATGTTTGAGGCTTCTTGTTTGGTGTAAACATCTCCTACAGGTCATTGTGTGAAAAGGCACAGAGTCTATCTGAGGAGGAGAACTCAGGGAAGCCTCACAACAACAGGGGAGACAAAACCGAGGTCACTAAAAAAATATGAAGCTTCTGGCTCCTGCAGCCTCCAGACATGCCCTGCACCCTCTCATTGCATACAAACGAATTCCTTTCTCTTTCCTGTGTGATATTTGCCAAGATTCCTCTCCTCCACTTTGACACTTTGGTATATCCATGTGTGTCCATTCTGGTTCAGCCAGGCACACAGAACCAGGAAGGCATCATGGCTTTTCTAGAGGGAGCTGACCTGGGTAATCAACGGTTGGAGTAGAAAGTGTCTTTGTCCATGTTTCACAGCCCTGAGGGCCATGGGAAGAAGGTCAGGAAGAGAGGATGACCAGACGGCCGGGGAAACCAGTATGAACAAAGCCACTTTCTTTCCTGGTGAAGAGGGGCTGTCCCTGTAGGGGATGAACCACACTCACCTACCCACTGTTACTTGCCAACGAGGTGACCCGCAGAGCAGCAGCTCCTGAGTCACCGACAGTGGCGCCTTCCTCCTCCAAACCCTCCAAGATCTGTCCTTCCAGGAGTGTGAACCCCAGCAGATCTGCATGTTTTCAATGGGTCCACTTAGCTAGTGTCTGTCCTCAGCCCCATCCCTGGGATCCTTCCCTGGTTCTGTGTACAGTGTCACAATAGTGGTGACATTGACAGCTGGTGCCTGCACTTTCCAGGCCAAGAAATTTGAAAGAAGCAAGTCACAGGACCAGCTTGGATTTGGGGCAAACAGACACATTTCACTCTGTGGGGAAGTGCTGGGAAGCAGCCTTGGGTCCTCCTCAGCTCACGTGTGGCTGCTGCTTCTCATCCCAGGTGGGACACATGAGCCCTCCCCATGCCCAGGATGGAGCTGTTTCAATCACAGCAGGATGGGAATGTGTCTTCTCTATGGGGGCTTTTGAAGCACAGCTCTCCTGTTCCTGAGATTTGAGATTTATAAAGACAAGTCCCACAGAGTGGACCTGCACAAATAAGACAGTACAGGATCCCCAGGAGAGACATCCCATATGAGAAGGGACAGGCTGGTCCCATCACTGACACTCGTCCTCAGAAACCCTGACCAGCTACTGACCTTCCCAGGTCCCCTGTTCCTGGAACGGTTCCTGTGTCTGCTCCTGAAAAGATGCCCATCAAGAGTCCCAAGGGTTCTGCCCCCTTCCTTGATGTGCCTCTGGGAGTGGGGCTGGCTGGGCTGTGGGTCTGCTGTGACCCTCTCCACAGGTCAGCAGTTCAGTGCAGGCTGCACCAACTCGGTGGGGCTGGGCTGTGGCTGACCCTCCTGGGGGAGCCTGGACTCTTCTTAGGGGTATCTGCAGGATCCCAGGTTCTGGGAGAACAGGGAAGCCACAGTGTGTGCAGGGCCCCATCTCCAGTAAAGTGTTTGCTGTTGTTCTGCTTGACAAGGGCATATCCCCAGGCCTAGAGGCACTATGGGCACACAGCCAATGCGCTAGACACAGGGAGTAAGACACAGTTCCCTCTCATTACTGTGAGGACTCTAGACACAGTGTGTGTGTGTGTGTGTGTGTGTGTGTGTGTGTGTGTGTCCATTACTGTGGGGACTCTAACCACCCGTGTGTGTGTGTGTGTGTGTGTGTGTGTGTGTATTAGGAGTTTCGCAGTGGGCTCTGAGACCCATGATTTTGTAGGTTTAGAAATTATCTGATGAGATGTTCATCCAAAGGAACCGACAAGAGATTAGGTGTTCTCCCAAAGCCCCTGGGAGCTCCTGGACTCATTGTGAGTGTGGACTGATCCAGTGCTTCCGGAGCTCCAGAGAAGGGGCTCCCTGGTGGTTTCATAGAATCCTTGTTTGGGGTGTTTCTGCAGAGTTCACTGGCTTTCCTACAACCAATTTACTATTGCAAGCGATGGTGTCAGCAGGACATGGTGTCACGTGTCACTAAAGAAGCATTCTGAGCCAGGACACAGCCACTTCATACAGGGAGGAAAATGCTCTGGGAGCCCAGACAGGAGCCTCTCTGCAGTGCAAGGGCTGGGCTGCAGGGGGCGCTCAAGGCCCACCCAGCACAGGCCCCAGCCCCAGAGCAGGTGCACAGGAGGCTGGGGAGGGATTCCTCTCAAGATCTGTGTCATTCTTCTAAAAAAATCTAAAATAAGTATTTGACAAAGACTGCTGAAGATTCCATAAATATCCTATTCAATTGCAAGAATTTATCAATTTACACTGGAGATTTCTAACCCTGCTACATACCTTAATAGTAAGCATCTGGAGATCAATTAAGCTTTTATTTTATATAAATAAGTGCAACTTTTGGAGAAACACACTCATCCCCCAAATAACACATTCATGTATTAAAGCCTAGAAATGCTTTAAATTACCTCTGAGCTATTCAAGTGTGGGTTCCCAGTGAAGTCCTGTTCTAGGGAAAATTGTTCTCCAGTGTTCTCCACTGTTCTGGAGAAAATTGTTCTCCAGAAGCTCTGTCAACATACAGCTTAGGGATGTGGCAGGGCACACATGGCCTCTAAGGGGATTATAGCTTGAACCCTTAGCATCCTCCTGTTGGGTAATCCATGTGTCATCTCTCCATTCTTTCTCATGCTGTGTTAGGTATGAAATAGCATCGCTCATGAATATGCAAATAACTGATATGACTATAGATATCTTTGTGCCCTGAGAGCATCACCCAACAACCACATCCCTCCTCAGAAGAAGCCCCCAGAGCACAGCTCCTCACCATGGACTGGACCTGGAGGATCCTCTTTTTGGTGGCAGCAGCCACAGGTAAGGGGCTGCCAAATCCCAGTGAGGAGGAAGGGATTGAGGCCAGTCAAGGGGGCTTCCATCCACTCCTGTGTCTTCTCTACAGGTGCCCACTCCCAGGTCCAACTGGTGTAGTCTGGAGCTGAGGTGAAGAAGCCTGGGGCCTCAGTGAAGGTCTCCTGCAAGGCTTCTGGATACACCTTCACCGACTACTTTATGAACTGGATGCGCCAGGCCCCTGGACAAAGGCTTGAGTGGATGGGATGGATCAACGCTGGCAATGGTAACACAAAATATTCACAGAAGCTCCAGGGCAGAGTCACCATTACCAGGGACACATCTTCGAGCACAGCCTACATGCAGCTGAGCAGCCTGAGATCTGAGGACACGGCCGTGTATTACTGTGCGAGAGACACAGAGTGAAAACCCACATCCTGAGAGTGTCAGAAACCCCAGGGAGGAAGCAGCTGTACTGGCATGGAGGAAATGACAAAGATTATTAGATTGAAGACTTTCTCAGAAAATGACATTAAGTCATTAAGGAAAAGAAACAATATAAATGTGTACTTGAGAAATTTTAATTACTTGAGAGATTTTTCATACAATATTTATTCTGCAAGCAAATTTCAGGGATTGAATTAATAAAACTGATACAGAACTTCCTCTGTAGGTATCTGTGTAAACATCAATTTCTGAATCAGTGTTGTAAATATTTTGGAACACATACACAAATCACATTTTATCTCTATTTTTAAAAATGCCAAAAAAACTCATTTGTGCATGTAGCATTTTGAATTCCCACCATCAATGCATGATAGTTCTTGGTTTTCCACATTCATATTGCCATTTACAATTATGAGAATTATGTGTTTTAACCATTCTAATAGGTGAGTAATGGTATCTAATTTTTAGTTAAATGCACATTTCCTTAATAAAAATTTACATTTAACAATTTTCATATAGTTTTTGCTGAGATGCCTCTTCTCATATTTGGTTCATTTTTAACTGTATTGTTTTCTTTTGATTAGTTGTAAGTTTACTTGCATATTGATTATAAAAGTCATTTAACAAATTAAAAGAATTCATTTAACAAATATGTGACTTGGAAGTATTTTCTCCAAGTCTGTGGCTGTCTTTTACTCCCTTATCAGTGTGTATTGCAGAAAAGTGTGTGTGTGTGTGTTTATACAAATTTAGATTTAAAAAATAAAATTTTATTCATCTACAGATCATGTCTTTGGTATTATATCTGAAATCTCATTATAAAATATACTAATATGATTACTTTTTCCATGTCTCTAGTCTCAGGCTACAATCAACTCATGAGTGTTTAAGCTTCACCTACTTGATTGGAGGACTATCAACCTAACATAGTTGGAATACTTCTGTAAAAAGATGTGTTCTTCTTCCTATTATTTCTTTATTTGATCACTTATTAATATGTGTATTGGTTTATGGATGTCTATTTCATACTCTGAAGAAGATCCATGCTACATTATTCATTTTATTTTTCAAACCACCACAGCTTTATTATGTGCTGGGAGCTCATTTAGTTTGGATCCTGCATCCTTACAGCTCACCTCATGCTTTTGTTTTTGAACACTTCCCTGTTTCCTGCTATTATAATAAATTCTAAACTCATTTTCTATATTATCTTTTTCGTACATAGAATCAGCCATTTTTCTAAAGACTGCTTGTTTCTGATGTTAAAGAATAGTATTTAAAAAATTGTAATACTGGGTATGTGCATTGTTAACGTGGTATAAGTACTTGTAGGACCTCTCAACTGACTGGCCTAGTAAACTATGTATCTAACCTTCTGTAATTTGATTACATTAAAAGTGAGAACACACTGGTCTCTCTACCCAATTATGCTACCACATGGACCTTTCTAGCCTTCCTTCCTTGACTGTCTATAACCACTCACTGCAAAGTGAGGAACCCCATCCAACCATATGCCATTTGATTACTTAGCTGCACAATTTCAGGACACATGCATAGCAGTATCAGAAATGTAAAGCTGTAACCTTGTTGGAAACATGTTTATCTACTAGAATAGAGTGCTTATATTCAGTTTCTTTACACTTATTATAGAGTTTCCTCATTTTCAAAGTTCCTTAGGTCAGCAACTTCATTTTCCAGTTTCTTCAGTGAAGTCATTTCAATGACACTGTATAATTTGATTTATTTGAAATTCTATAAAAGCCAAAACTGTAGTCAAGTAAACATATAGAGGATATTCCAGGAGCTTAGAGACTGGGTATAAAATAAGTTAAAAAGACACTGTTTAAGAAGATTAAAATTATTTATAGTGATATGCAATGGTTCAGATATGACACAATTAATTTGTCTAAGCACATAATTTTATGATGGAAAATATAAACCTAAATATACACAATTAAAAAAAAGTACTTAGCAGTTCATTAACCCAAGGATCAAATGCAGATTGTATAAAATTATCTCATTACTTATTTTGTGAGGGTGGAGATTTCATGAGATGTATGCAACAAAGAATGAGGTAATTTTCCTGATTTGCATATAAGATGTTGCCATTCACTAAAGACCTTTAATTTTTTAATTTTTTTTAAAATCAATTTTCTACGTGACCCAGGTTTTTTCCTCTTGACAAGCAAATAACCCACAGGATTATTTTCTTTCCTTGGTTGAGAAATATTTCCCCAAACTTCAGCTCAGTTCAGGCATACACTGTCCCTGAATGGGCATTTACCCTCAGATGGGGACACACACCTGTCAACATGTGGACTCTTCTGTCAGATAAATGCACCGTTACTCATGTGGATTCTTTCCTCAGACAAACACACATGTCCCCACGTGGACTCTTTCCTCAGACTACCACATATGTTCTGACATTTACTCTTTCCTCAGAAAACAGACATTTCCTCATGTGGACTCTTGTCTCAGACAAGCAAACATGTCTCCATGTGAACTCAATTCAGATAAGTACACATATGTCCACATTGACTGTTTCCTTACACAAACACATATATCCAATGTCGAATTGTTCTGTGGCAAAATGATCTCAAGATAATGATAATTATAAACCCCCTCCCTGACAAGGCGTAGATATGTATTTTTTTCATTGTAACCTAACTTTGCCTTATTGTCAAGAACAGTAGTTTGCAGCTCTAAATGTACCAATTAGAGACAGGTGTCCATTTTCTCTGGAAACATATTTTTATGTTCTTACTGGACATATTTGTTGATAATGTTTGCTATTATGAAAATACCTGAACAGCGTCCACACTAGAGAATAAAAAAGAGTAATGGGCAGATTAACTCTGTGCATCCAGACCCAGAAATCCTTTGACCTTGACTTCCCTGAAATGTAGACACAGAGGATGGATGAGCAATGCTGAGCGGTGCACCCATGACCACAAAAAGAAAGACATGGAAATGTGTCCCCTCCCCTTCTCAAGAAAGGCAGCTTATCCCCTGTTCCCTCAGGCCCTGGCGAGGAGCCACCCCATGTCTGTGCCCTTCCTCAGTGTCCACACCATGGGGTCTGCACTGATCTGGATTCCCTTCTCATCCCCGTCAACATTAGTGGCCTTTGTAAAACAGGTCCAGCTGTGGCTGCTCCTCATGGGGATTTTCTCAGTCTGTTTTCTGTGTTCATGGAAGTCCTGTGTGAAGTTTACTGATGGAGTCAGAGGGGGAAAATTTTACAGCCCAGCGGTTGAGATTCTCCTGCAAAGCCTCTGGTTTCACCTTTACTGGCTACAGCATGAGCTTGGTCCAGCACGCTTCACAACAGGGATAGGTGTGGATGCCAACAGTGAGCGATCAAGTATGAATTCTCAGGGTTACTCTCCATGAATACAAATAAATTAACAATCTCAAGCAACACCCTTTCAAGTGCAGTCTGCCTTACAATGACCAATCTGAAAGCCAAGGACAAGGCCATGTATTACTGTGAGTGACACAGTGAGGGAAACCCTGTGTGAGCCCAGACACAAAGCTCACTGCAGGGAGACAGGAGGGGACTATGCGGTAGATGCTGCTCAGAACCACCAGGGGGCACTCAGAACCATCAGGGAGGGTGCACAGAACCACCAGGAGGGGCTCAGGACACCAGGGGGTGCTCAGCACCACCAGGGGGCACTCAGGACCATCAGGTAGGGTGCACAGAACTGCCAGGAGGAGCTCAGGACACCAGGGGGTGCTCAGAACCACCAGGGGGCACTCAGAACAATTGGGGGTGCTATGAACCACCAGGGGGCGCTCAGAACCACTAGCTGGTGCTGAGGACACCAGGGGGCGCTCAGGACCACAAAGGGGCCCTCAGGACACCAGAGGGTGCTCAGAACCACCAGGAGGCGCTCAGGACACCAGGGGGCGCTCAGAACACTAGGAGGTGCTATGAATCACTAGGGGGCGCTCAGGACACAAGGGAGCACTCAGAACCACCAGGGATAGCTCAGGACACCAGGGGGCACTCGGAACCGCCAGGGGGTGCTCAGGACACCAGGAGGCACTCAGAACCACCAGGGGGTGCTCAGGACACCAGGGGGCGCTCAGAACCACCAGGGGGTGCTCAGGACACCAGGAGGCACTCAGAACCACCAGGGGGCCCTAAGGAACCTAGGAGCTGCTCAGAACCACTAAGGGGTGTTGACACCAGGGGGCAGGCAGAATCACCAGGGGGAGCCCAGGACACCAGCAGGCGCTCAGGAAACACCAGGAGGTGCTCAGGACACCAGGGGGCGCTCAGAACTGCCAGGGAGCGCTCAGAAGAAGCAGGGGGTGCTCAGAACACCAGAGGGTGCTCAGAAGCACCAGGGGGCGCTCAGGACACCAGGGGGCGCTCATGAGACTGTGGTGGGGGGGTGCTGAGAACCACAGGATGTGACCAAGACACCAAGGGGTACTCAGAACTGCCAGGGGGTGCTCAGGACACCAGAGGATTCTCAGAACCACCAGGGAGTGCTCAGGACACCAGGGGATGCTAAGGAAACCAGCGGGTGCTCAGAACGACCAGAGGACACTCAGAAAACCAGGGGAAGCTCAGGAACCACCAGGGGGCGCTCATGACACCAGCGGGCGGTCAGAACCACCAGGGCATGCTCAGAACCACCAGGGGGCGCTCAGGACACCAGGGGATGCTCAGGACACTAGGGGGCGCTCAGGAACCACCAGGGGTCACCCAGGAAACCAGAGGGTGCCCAGGAAACCAGGGGAGGTTCAGGAACCACTAGGGGGCACTGAGGACACCAAGGGGTGCTCAGAACCACCAGGGGGCGCTCAGGAACCACAAGGGGACACTCAGGACACTAGTAGGCACTGAGGAACCACCAGGGGGCGCTCAGGACACCAGGGGACGCTCAGAACCTCCAGGGGTCGCTCAGATCCACCAGAGGGCGCTCAGAACCACCAGCAGGTGTTCAGGACAGCAAGGATGGCTCAGGACACGAGGGGACACTCAGGACCTCCAAGGGGCTCTTTGGAGGCAGCTCCATATCAGGTACCTGGGGAGGGTGAGGTTTCCTTTTCCACCTTGGTGATTCCTGACCTGGTCAAGCAAAAGTCTTCCCCAGGATCTCTTACCATGTCTTCCTTGTAACTCATGGTTTCTTTCACCTATAAAACATTAACTTAGAACAGGGGTTCAATTCAACTTTAAACTCTGCCTATTTTCAGAGTTATACTAGCAATGATATATCTCAGTATAATTTTTTTTAATTGTGTATATTCAATCCAAAGTCTGGCTCTATGCACAATTTTTTTGTTTTCTGTGCTGTCAGACACACTATTGTAAATGCTTTTCTAACAACTCAGCATATGCGTGGGGTCCAGTTTCTTTTCCTTTCATCGGCTGTTTGTGCAGATGAAACACCGCTTTAAGGGCTCATGTCCTCCACTTTGGCCCCTGGTGTTTTGCTTCTCAAACTTTCTCCATCTTCTCTTTTTCTGTCAAAATATTTTATCTTCCTCACTCTCCATGCAGGAAACAGGAAGTCCTTTTACTTTCTGTCCCCCATGTCTGGTAAATCAGTTCACTTCTTTTCATGATCACTGAAGCCAACCAAGTTTAGGAGAGTAACAGTTCTCCTTAGAATATGCTCTACCTGCAGACTCTCTGCCCTCATCACACTTTTCTAGGGTCCTGCAGACATAACCCCCACCCATTCCTCTTTTTCCCTCAGTACCACAGATTGGGCTCTGCAACTCATGCTACCCTCTGTGTGCTCAGCCCAGGGGCTCACTAGTGCTTTCATGAAGTCCAAATCCCTAATGTGTTTGCACACTCTCAGACCACCCTCCAGCAAGCTGCCATTGTGATTGAATCCTGCAAAGCATGGGCTGCTTTCAGTTTCCTATCACTGGATGTTCTTTATTATAAAGGCATATTGGCAAATAAAGACTAGAGTTTGTATTGAAAATTAACACCAAAAAGTTTTTTAAAAAATTTTTCAAATAGAAAAGTTATATCTTGCCTAGTTTAAAAAAATACAATGTTACTTTAATCAATGATTTAATAAAAATTTAAGTGATGTTTGTCTTATTATTCAATTTATTAATAACTGACTGATATTTAAAAAGTAAATACTGGCTGGGTACAGTGGCTCATGCCTGTAATCTCAGCAATTTGGGAGGGTAAGGTGGGTGGATCACCTGATATCGGGAATTCGAGACCAGCCTGACCAACATGGAGAAACCCACTCTCTACTAAAAATACAAAATTAGCTGGGCATGGTGGGGAAGCTGAGGCAGGAGAATCGCTTGAACCCGGGAGGTGGAGGTTGCGGTGAGCCGAGAACACGCCATTGCACTCCAGCCTGGGCGACAAGAGCAAAACACTGTCTCAAAAAAAAAAGTAAATACCACTGTACACTTAAGTAATATATTTGGCAAGAATGGCATTTACATTCATTCAAAAATGAAACTGCAAATACAAGTTACATTCAGTTAAATAATTAAAATAATATAGAAAAAATGGGTGTGTTGTTTTGGTGTTTAATATACATTCATTTTTGCATGGACGCATATATGTGTCATTGCTTGGCTGTTGTGTGTGTGTGTGTGTGTGTGTCTGTGTGTGTACGACTATGAAGTTTAAAATATATTATTAAATTACATAGTTGTATTAATCCAAATTTATCATGTTAAAATATTAGGAAAAAGTCACCAGTAGAGAAATTACAGAGAACATTAGCAATGCCTACAGCATTTACAAGAGTCACGTTAATAAGAAACAAACTAGTTCAAATTTTTAGATATGACACACGCAGTGGAAAATGTTCACATGGTATTAACACAAAAGTGGTGCACAATTGAGGAAATTATAATACATTCATGATATTGGCTAAATAAATGCTTATGAGTAATGCTTTTCATCCATCAAATGCTTATGATAATGCTTTTCATCCATCGTATTATAGATGATAAAATAACTCTATAAACACTTCCATCACTAGTGTTTAATATGAGATGCCTCACATCTTTTTCTGAAATAAATAAACATCTGTCCACTACTTTGATGATCATTTCAGTATTATCCTCTAAAATAATTATCCATAATAATGTTAGTAACAATATTATTTTCAGAAGCCTATTTTATAAGTTCTTTGAACTATTATTTTTATGATTGTTACTTTATATTTTACACACTTTTTATTTGGAATAATTATAGATTATCAGAACAATTGTAAGGAAAATACAGTGTGTTCACATCCATCTCCGAGTTTTCACTAAAGTTAGTATGTTAAAAAAATGGGACATGGGACTAATATATTTACATTGATAATTTTCTGTTTATTCAGCTCTGGGATTTATTTGAATTTTGCCAATTTTTAACAGTTTCCTTTTTTCCTTTTTCTTTTCTTTTTGAGATAAAGTCTCACTTTCCTATTGCTTTTTGTTTGTTTCTTTGTTCAACTCAGGTAACCACATCAAATTCAATCACCATGTCCCTCTAATATCTTCTGGTTAATCACAGTTTGGGTTCCTGCTGTCTTCCCATTGAATATTCTATAAATGAAACTAGTGAAATAAGTTGATTCTGGTCACTTATGTATTTACCTATTTTATCACGTTTGTTTTGTCAATCACAATAAGTGTCGAAGTCTCTATCTGTTATAGATGTTAGCCTATTTTCTATTGCAGATCCATTGGTTAAATCTTTGGTGATGCCTTTTAGAAAACTGATCCCTTTACCCTATGTAATATGCCCCTTGATTCCTGAAAGTCTTATGTCTACCTTGTCTGAATTTAACATAGCTAAGCACGCTTTCTTTTCGTTCATATTTTCATGGTCCATGTTTTCCTGTATTTAACTTTCCTATGTAGAGCAAATTTCTATACAGAGCTAATAGTTGGGTCTTGCTTTTTAAAACAACTATAATAAATTCTGTTTTAAAACTGGTATTACTATTTTTCTGTTAATTTCTGTTTTAATTTAGCATTTTATGATCATGTTTATTCTCTATTAACTTATCGTTTAGTTCATCCTTTATGAATATTATATTGGCCATAAGATATACAATACGAATTGTATATAATCAGATTCTAATTCAAATAATGTAAAACCTCTTCATAGGTTGTAGAGCTATTATAACTGTATTCTTCTAAACCCTGTTTCTCATCCGTTGTCTTAGTTTATTCTCAGTTTGCACTTATATGTGCTATAAAATATAATATGTGCATTTTTATCGTTACTTTACATAGACATATATTAGAACAATTAAAAATATAAAAACTACATTTCAACTTCATTTTTTCATTCTTGACCACCTGTTTTATTTGGATAGATTCATGTTTCAGATGTATATCATATGGCTACTCACCCTGGCAGAAAATTTGCCAAAGCACCTACTGAAGGATGAATGCACTGGCAATAAATTTTCTCAGAATCGAATTGTCTTACAGGGTATTCATTTGACTTTCTCTTTAAATGAAATTTTTAATACATATAGAATTCAAGTTTGACTTTTATTTGTAATTTATTTTCTTGTACTCATGTATTCATTATTTTCTTCCTGAAGATGGTCACACATTCCATTCTGCTGGGCCTTCATTATAGACATTTGTGTGTATCTATTCAGGGCTATATTTGCAATTTATGGATGCCACAATTATCAGAGTTGAAGTCAGCTTCTGCTGTCCACAGAGATTTCAAGTTCCTCCCATGATACTTGCTTTTGTGTCCCTGTTTGATCCTGGGTCTTTATATTTAGTTTTCCCCAGGGAGTCTGTCTCTTTCAGCTGTGGAAAGTGCACCCTACTGACAGTTTAAATTGCTGACTGTGTGGTGAAGGAGCTTGGACAAAGCGGGACGTCCTCCAACCTTCTGACTGAGTCTTCTTCTTATGCAGGAGTAGTAAGCATAGTTCTGGGGAGTGGCCTTGCAGATTGTCCTGTCCTTAACTCTTTCCCCAGGGCTGGAATGTATTTTCCCATACAGAATTGTTTTTCACCAGTGTCCCCAGCTTTTTACCCACTATCCTTACCCTAAAGAGTAAGGATTTCTTTCCTGAGGAAGGAGATGGGAGGTGTTTCTGGATCAAGTTTCCTTGGTGTCCTCTGTTTCCTTTTGTTTCTGTTGACTTCACCACAGCTCACATGACACATGCTTTGGTGGATTTCCCCTGGAGGTAGTGGAGGTGCATCCAGGCATTCCACAGGAGCTGCTGTTCTTTTCCCCAGTCAACACCACAAGACACCAGATGAGGAAGTTGTCCGTGGATTTTTCAAGTTCTCTAGGAAAAGCTTGCAAGCACTAGGCCACTCTAACACCATTAGTACATGCATACTAAAAAAAAGTCATTAAGTATTTCTAGGTTAGTCTGTTTCTATCTCAAATGCCATCCAGTGGCACCTGCCCTATGTACACTAGCAGGTAGGTCCTGGTTCTCTTTGCAGGCTCCTATCTTGTCAGATTTCAGTTTTCTTGTTTGCTCGGTGAAATCGACTCAGATATGTTGAATGCTTTTTCTCTCTTTTATTTGTAGCTGTTCAGCTTTGTTGTTAATGAGGTCAGAATAAAATCACAGTTTTCTCATTTTTTTCACATTCCCACACTGAATAGCTGCTTTCTGTATAAAAGCCAGAAACTGAGAGAACACATTGAATATCCATTACAGGTGAATGTTAAACAATTTGAGATATGTTTGTGTACTGGAATAAAATGCTGCATTACAATCAAGTCATCACTCATTCACATAAAACTTGGCCATATTCTCAAATAATGTACGGACCTGAGTGCCCCTCCATCTACTGGCCTCTCCTGGGGCCCTAGCCTGGCCATACCTGCTTGCAGGGCAGTCTCGGGCACCCTGGGATCCTGCACCAAAATTTCTGCCCTGGCAGACCATGCCTGACTGGTGGAGAGCTCCAATCGGGCAGCTCTCATGTGCACACACCAGCTTACACACTTCCTCCGAATACTGTAGGTTCCCCCAGGCCCACGTAACTCCCCACATCACTTTGCAGGCACATGTCTGTATAGGTGGGTTTTGCTTTTCTTGTCCCACCATTGCGTGGAGTGCAGTCCCCTCCCCCCACCCCAACCACCACGGCAGAGGTAGCTTTGGTGGGGAAAAAGCCAGGCCCGCTCCTGTCAGCGTCCCGCACTTGCACTAATTCTGCACAGAGAATAGCAGATCATCTCACACATTCAGAAATTGCTCCTGCTTGTGGGGCATGAATACGGCACCCGGACCTGTGCCCACAAGTGTCCCACCCCTGAGCCAACACCACCTCCAGCGTGACTTTGAACACAGTCACCAGCAGGGCCCCACACACCCACAGATGCAGTGCCTCTGCCACTGTGGTGAACACCTGCAGGGAGGCAGGCCCCCAGACACCCACTAGCACTCTGTCACAGCTGCCACACCTCCAGCCCCCCAAGAACAGTGGATTCCTAACCTTAAGGAGCCAGAGAACCAAGTCAGGGACTTGTATAAGTTCCCCCAGAGTTAGAGCACACAGTCCAGGTGTTGGGAGCTGAGCACTGACCACCTAAATTTTTCCAGAAATGAAGCCAGTTGGCTGAATCCACCTTATACCACAATCAAACCCTCAAGATCATCCAATAGGATAAAAGAAAATAAAAATGTATCCAAAAGTCAGCAACCTCAAAGACTGAAGGTGGATATGCCCACAAAGATGAGAAAGAACCAGTGCAAAAGTCATGAGAACAAAAAGTGCGCCCTCATTCCTCCAAACAACCGCAGCACCTCTTCAACAGGGGTTCTGAATGGGGCTGAGATGGCTGAAATGACAGAAACAGAACTCAGAATATGGAGAGTGAAAATGTAGATGAATACAGCTATTTATGGAGAATACTATAAATGTTCCTCAAAAAATAAAGAAACAAAATCTACTGTAGAATCCAGCAGTCTCACTACTGGCTATGTATCCAAAGGAAATGAAATCAACATGTCAAAGAGATATCTGCACTCCATGTTCATGTTCATTGCAGCATCTTTTAAAATAGTAAAGATATGGAAACATCCTAAATTCCCATGAATGGATGAATGAATAAAGAAAATGCATACAGACACAACAGAGTAATGTTCTTCCTTAAATAAGAAGGAAACCCTGCCTCTGTGACAGCATGCCTGAATCTAGAGGACCTTATGCTAAGTGAAACAAGCCAGGAACGGAGGAAGAGTAATTCAAGATTTCACTGTAGTATATTAAAGCAGTAGACTTGCAGAGATAGAGTAGAATGTTGGTTACCAGGGGCTGGAGGGGTGGACTGGGAAAGGGAGATGTGGGTTAAAGTGCACAATGTTCCAGTTAGACAGGAGGTATAAGTTATGCTTTTCTAATGCACAGCATGTCAACTATAGCTGATCAGGTGGTATATATTTCAAAATTACTAAAAAAAAACATTAAAATTTCCCCACTAAGAAATGATAAATTTGTGAGGTGATGAATATAAGTGGCTTGAGTCACCCAGTTCATAATGTATACATGTATCATAACTAAACAACATATGTCATAAATATATGCAAAAATTATTTGTAATTTCTAATAAAATAAGTTTCATATTTAAATAATTACATTAAGAAAATGAACAGAACCTTTCCGATTTCAAGAATATTATATATATAATATATCTTAAAACAAACTTGCAACAGAATATAGAAATAAGTTTTACGACTCAATAGAAAAGAATAGAATTCAATAAAAACTGGCTAAAAGAAACAACAGCTGTATCATTATAGAAAATTCTGGAATAATCAGCCATATAAAGATTCTCACTCTCTTAGAACTAGAATTCTGTAGGACCTGCAATTCCTCCTGAACTGGGTGGGAGGCACAAGGAAGAACAGCTAATGGTGATTCAGTGAATTTTATATCTGTGTGTACTTCTGTGCTCACTCAGCAGAAAGAAAAGAAGAAAAGAAAGAAAGAGAGAAAGAAAGAAACAGAAGAAAGAAAAAGAAAGAAAGAAAGAAAGAGAGAGAGAGAGGGAGGGAGGGAGGGAGGGAGGGAGGGAAGGGACAGCAGAAGTCATTGTGGTGTGTGTGAAAGCACAATCCTTGGACTCCCCCACATCCTTCTGTACTCCAGTCCCATCAATGTCCAGCAAATACATTTTCTAACATGAAGTATTTTAAACTTTCTAAATCCTGCTAGAAACCCCCTCAGCTCTTTCAATTTTGCTCTATCACTTGAATTATTGAATTAAATCTAGTTTTTGTGGGCCTATCAATACCATAAGCCAAAATAACACATGAAGAAATTGCACTGAGACACAAGAAAACCTTCTGAAAGCTCCATAATTTCAGATCTGCATTCTTATTTCCCCAAACCTAAATCACTAAATAGAGACTCAGAACAAGTTGATCTTGTTCCCGAACGTGCACAGAGCCAAGGACATCCTGTCTGTCTGCAACAGCTCAGGTTTGTTCCTGTTTCTCCTAGAGGATATAAAATCTTGATTTAGGGAAAAACAGCTAGGGACACCCTGGGCTTTGTTCTTCTCTTCCCTGGAGGCAGGATGTCCTTCAGAGCTTTGTCCCAGTGGGTAACACAGCTGCTGAGGTGTACAACCCAGGTGGCCTTGTTTTGGTCACTTTTGCATGGTGAGCCTGCTTTGCACCATGGCCTACAATATGCGTGTGTAACTAATCTGTCTCCATCTTCAAAATGACATTATTCCACATCAAATCTAGTGCAGGTGCCTTACACAGAACATTCTCAATTACCTCCATCATTCATAAAATTGATGCCATTAATTTCAAGTATACATACATCAGACTCATTTAACGTATTGTTATTCTCATTGTTTGAAACATAACTTTTAGATCAAATAAATTAACAATAATAAAAATATAAATTTTGAAGTCAGGTAATGTGATTTCTCTAGTTGTGTTCTCTTTGCTCAGAATGGCTTGGGCTATTCTGCATCTTTTGTTTTTCCACATATATTTTAGGATTTTTTTTAATTTCTGTGAAGAATATCATTGTTGTTTTCATAGGGATTGTATTGAGTCTGTAGATTGCTTTAAGTATAATGGACATTTTAACAATATTGACTCTTTGAATTCATAAACATGGAATATTGTTCCATCTTGTGTCCTCTTTAATTTCTTTCATCAATGTTTTATAGATTTATTGTAGTTTTTTTTACTTTGTTCATTACACATTGTATGCCTGTACCAAAACATCACATATACCCAACAAATAGAAATATATATACTATTATGTGCTTATAACAATTAAAAATTATGTATGTATATTGAATCTATTCAAAATCAGAAACTATTTCTTTTTACTATTTGTAAGGTCTTGTCTCTAGGCTATAAAAAGAATTTGTAAAACTCAACAGAAAGCATAATATAAACAGAATTCTAAAATGACTGAAAATCTGAACAAACACCTCACCAAGAAAAAATGTTATCTGAAAATAAGAATATAGACAATTGTTCAGTATCGATTGTCATAAACCGATATTCATAATTACCAAACACAAAAGTAAACATGATGTATTTCAACAGAATTGATTCTCAAATATTTGTATACTCACACAGTGGAATACTATTCAGTCATAAAAACTTATGGGTTATTAATTCAGAAAACAACATTTTAACATTTTTTCTAAGTGAAGGAAGATGGACAAAAGAGACTAAGTATTGTACAATTCCATTCATGAGACCTGCTAAATACAGTAAAATTAAAAGGATTTAAAAAACAGGTTTGTGATAGGCAGGGCTTTTGGGGAAAGACAAGAGACTGACTTGGCAAAGCTCAGGGGATAGTTTTAGGGTAAAACAAACGTGTGCCATTGTGATATGCCTAATTAATTATTATATTTGTTCAGAGTTAATAGTGTACGTTTCAACCAACTTGGTGATTTTATATTTTCTATTTGCTGATAGAGACATGTTCATTTTTGTCAATCACTTTGCTAAATGTGGCTGAGAGGCTGTTGACATGAACGCTGAGTAAATGTATTCACCAAGTCTACAAGAGCAAATTATTTGCCAATTGCTGATTGAGTGGGGTCAATAATGTATATGAGATTGGGCGTGGGGATGTTATTGTGTGAGATCATGATGTTTAGACCACGACACTCTCTGGTGAGGGATCACTCATTCATTGCACATTTAATGAAAGGCAGGTAGGAGGAGCAGAAGGGCATGAGTCACTCTCCTGACCACAGCCACAGGTTATTGAAGGCAGAACTGATGTAATCCCCTCAGGTAGACCAGCGCCCCTCAAAGGTGACTTTATCCTAGAGTTGACACACATCCTGGGACACCAAAGACAACTCCTTCTCTCCCCTTTCTCTGCACTTCAGCTGGAAAAAACTTTCTCACCGAGCACCTTGTGTTAGGGAATGAGAGTTCCTGTCCCAGGTGTGAGGGCCCAGGTGCATCCACTTGATTCAGCACGAGAGCAAGAACAGCCTTCCAGAAAATGACATCACCTGAGGTATAACCAGCTTTCACCTGCTGCAGCTTCCTCTGAATAAAAAGGAAACTGTTGAAACTTCCTCAAAAGTGTCCTGCTGTGCCATTCCCTTTGTCCCTACGTGTTCAGTTGTGTCTGTCCAGATGCCACTTTTATGTAGGGAGATTAGGGTTCTGCTTCCAGTACCAGAACACACATGACCTCTTAGGAGACTTCAGGGTTTTGATCACATATATGATGATCTTAAAAGTCATTAGCTCCATTTCTACATCAAAAAACATCTGAACCAGAGGGGCACAGAGGCTCATGCCTGTAATCACAGCACTTTGGGAAGTCAAGGCAGAGGAATCACTTGAGGTCAGGAATTTGAGACCAGCCTGGTGAACATGGTGAAACCCCGTCTCTACTAAAAAATATATACAAAAATTAGCCAGGTGTGGTGGCACTAGCCTGTAATCCCAGCTACTTGAAAGGCTGAGGCAGGAGAATTGCTTGAACCCAGGAGGTGGAGATTGAAGTGAGCTGAGATCACACCACTTCACTCCAGCCTGGGCGACAGAGTGAGGCTCCATCTCAAAAGAAAAATTTATATATATATATATATATGTGTGTGTGTGTGTGTGTGTATATATATATGTGTGTGTGTATATATATATGTGTGTGTGTGATATATATATATGAGATCTCCAAACCATCTAAATATCCAAAGCATATATATATATATATCTGCATTCTTATTTCCCCAAATAGAGTGATTATCCAACCATATCCAAACCATATATATATATATCTCCAAACCATCTAAATATCAAGTATTTTTTAATCCATCTAAGAACTGAAATTGCTGAAAAAACTACTCCCTCCAAAAGCTGTAGAGATAGGCACATCCACAATTACAGCAGAGACTTGCTGACTTGGAAGAGAAGCTCCTGGAAACACATTGGTGAGAACACTTACCTGGTGATTACGCTGAATGTCTGGAGGACAAGTGTGGACTAGGGGGAAGGTGAGCGCTCCTAGAGGCTGTACACCCCACACTTGTGTGGACTTGCCCTCCAGGGCCTTCAGGTTCTCATGGAAGCGATTAAAATAGATTCCCTATAGCCACGAACTGGGGAGGAGTAATCACTGAGAAAAAATGCACAAAAAGACTTTTCTAGAAAGCTCATCCGAGGGAAGGTGTTCTCTAAAATCTTAGTTTATGTGGGGGAAGGAAGTACTTCCATATTACAGACCCCTCCTCCTCAGCCTTCCTCTATCATGCAAATGATAAAATTAGCCAAGAGGAGTCAGACTCAAGGTGGTAGCCCTGGGTGCAGCATCTGCGGAAGGGAGGAAAGAGAGAAAATCAGCTGTATCACTGGAGATTCCTTGTAAAGGTGCTCAGGTGAAGAGGGCAACCAAACCAGGGAGAGTCAACTGTAAGAACATACCATGCTCCCCTGCCCCACACATTACCTCCTCAACAGCATCATTAATGTGGATTAAAGAGGTCAGTGTGATTGCTTTAGATCTGTTTGAGAAAGAAAGTCACATGCTGAGGCCTAGGGTCAGGGTCGGCAGCACTTCCCATGAGTAAGATACTATGAAGAAGGAAACATTAGGGGCCCATAACTGTGAAAATCAGCCACAGTGTGTGTGAGTATGTTTGTGTTTGTGCTTCTGTATGTTTGAGTAGGAGTTATTGAAACAGTGGACGTGGAGTGAGCTTTAATCCACATCCATCTGCAGCTTCAGGTATTCTCAGATGCAGTATTTGTCTGCAAGAGCCAAATTGAGAAAAGAGCCACCTCCAACCCCCCCCAGAGTTTTAGCCTCCCTTTGTTTCCAGTGATCCAGTGCATCTAGACCTCCAGGAAAGGGACTCCCTGGTGATTTTAGTGATTCTTCTCTTGGAGCCTCCCTGAAGAGGACATTGGGTTTCCAAAGGCCCATTCACTATTTCAAGAGGTGGTGTCATCCGCTCATGTTGTCACTGAAGGAGCATTCTGAGCCAGGGCACAGTCACTTCCTAGTGAGCTACAGAGGCTGAGAGAAAAATGCTCTGTGAGACCCAACAGGAAGCTCCCTGCAGTGCAAGGTGTGGGTGGCAGGGAGCGCTCGGGCCTCCCCGCAGCACAGACTTGCAGCCCAAGAGCAGGTGCACAGGAGGCTGGGGAGGGGTTCCTCCCAGGGGTTGATGTCTTCCTTTTCTTGAACAAACATGCTTTAATAAGTTAAACAAGAATTTAGTAAAGACTATTTGTAGGATTTATCTAACCTAACAAGTCAATGAGAATCACATTTAAAAGGAGAAATTTCTAGGATTTTCAGATATCTTAATAGTTAGGAGATGGAGAAAAGGGATAGTTTTATTAATTCAGTGCTTGCCAATCTTAGCAGAGACAGTAGTAAGACAGGCAGAAAGCAAAGCCCAGAAAAGTATGAAGGTGTCAAAGTGCCATTTAAGTATGGGTTCACTTGGAGGACCATGTTTTGTGGGAACTTGTTTTCAGCAGAGACAATTTATTTTAGCAGAGTTCTGGGCATACAAGGGGACACACATCATTAAACAAGGATTAGGACAGGGCTTCAGCGTCCCACTGTTGCATGGCCCATAAATAATGTGTGTTCTCTTTCTCATCTTGGATCAAGTCTAGAGCTATGAAGCTATGAAATAGTACCCCTCATGAATATGCAAATAACCTGAGATTTACTGAAGTAAATACAGATCTGTCCTTGCCCTGAGAGCATCACCCAACAACCACATCCGTCCTCTAGAGAATCCCCTGAGAGCTCAGCTCCTCACCATGGACTGGACCTGGAGGATCCTCTTCTTGGTGGCAGCAGCTACAGGTAGGAGGCTCCCTAGTCCCAGTGATGAGAAAGAGATTGAGTCCAGTCCAGGGAGATCTCATCCACTCCTGTGTCCTCTCCACAGGTGCCCACTCCCAGGTGCAGCTGGTGCAGTCTGGGGCTGAGGTGAAGAAGCCTGGGGCCTCAGTGAAGGTCTCCTGCAAGGCTTCTGGATACATCTTCACCGACTACTATATGCACTGGGTGCGACAGGCCCCTGGACAAGAGCTTGGGTGGATGGGACGGATCAACCCTAACAGTGGTGGCACAAACTATGCACAGAAGTTTCAGGGCAGAGTCACCATGACCAGGGACACGTCCATCAGCACAGCCTACACGGAGCTGAGCAGCCTGAGATCTGAGGACACGGCCACGTATTACTGTGCGAGAGACACAGTGTGAAAACCCACATCCTGAGAGTGTCAGAAACCCCAGGGAGGAGGCAGCTGTGCTGGGGCTGAGAAATGAAAGGGATTATTATTTTTAATGTTGTTTACAGTATGTCATTAATAAATTGAAAAAAGTAACAATAGAAGTATATACTCTAATTATATGGGAAGTTTGTTTTTTCAGTTTTTTGGTGTTTTTTTTTTTTTTTTTGGTTTGTTTGTTTGTGACAGAGTCTCACTCTGCCACCCAGGCTGGAGTGACACGGCAAAGTCTCAGCTCACTGCAACCTCCACCTCCCAGGTTCAAGCAATTCTCCTGCCTTGGCCTCCAGAGTAGTTGGGATTACAGGCACCCGCCACCACGCCCGGCGAATTTTTGTATTTTTAGTAGAGACGGGGTTTCACCATGTTAGCTAGGCTGGTCTCGAACTGCTGATCTCAGGTGATCTACCCTCCTCAGCCTCCCAAAGTCCTGGGATTACAGGTGTGAGCCACTGCGCCTGGCCCAATTATATGGGAATTGTTTATATAATTATCACCCTATAAGCAAAATTCATGGAGGAGGAAAAGCTCTACTGAAGAAAGCTGATACCGGCATTCCCATGAAAGTATCTGTGTAGAAGTAAGTATTAAAATCAGTTGAATAGGTGAGGCACGGTGGCTCATGCCTATAATCCCAGCACTTTGGGAGACCGAGGCAGGTGGATCACAAGGTAAGGAGTTCAAGATCAGCCTGGCCAAGATGGCGAAACCCCTTCTCTACTAAAAATACAAAGAATTAGCTGGGCGTGGTGGTGGATGCCTGTAATCACAGCTACTTGGGAGGCTGAGGCAGAGAATTGCTTGAACCAGGGAGGCGAAGGTTGCAGTGAGCCGAGATCGCGCCACTGCACTCCAGCCTGGGTGACAGAGCGAAACTCCATCTCAAAACAAAACAAAACAAAACAAAACAAAAAAATCAGTTGAATAAAGTACCTTAGAGTCATCTGTTCAATTAACATGTTTAACTCCAAAGAAATCATGAAAATATTTTCCAAAAAGGAAGTGCCATTTTATGTTCCTACCAACAGTGAATAAGACTTTCTTTTCTGGAGCCTTGTCAGTATTCACCAATGCTTTGCTGTGCAGCCATTGTAATATTATAGTAAATGAGTAGCAGTATTTAATGGTTGTTTAAATATACATATTCCTAATACAAAGTCTTGATGAACACTTTTTTATACATTGTTTTACGAGGTGCGTGTTCAGATCTATGTATGCCAGAAATGCCTGGCAGCATTAATTTAAGCACACTGTGAGAATGACCCTATAGTTTAAGAAGAATGTATGTTCAGAGCTCTGAGCTAAGAAATCCAGGAGCTGTCCACCCAGAAGTTTATTCCTTGTCTGTGAAGGACGTCTGAAGCCCTGGCCTATCCCTTGGAACACAGGATGTCCAGGTGATTGAGGCTCTTTGTTAAATCTGGAGGTTGCTAGGTAGAGGGTGCTAAGTGAAAATCATAATATAAACTACACATGTTTTACAAATGGTAGTGGTTTTCCTGTCCAACACACTCTTCCTGGGCCACATTGTATGGAAGTCCTCAATACACCCTAGATCTTGTTCATGGGCTCCAGGTCTCCTCTTTAGCCTTTTGGACATGGTGCCATGCCTATTACAGTCAATAGGGGTCTAGCATGACAATTGGGAGGCCCAGAACAAGGTCAAAGAAAATCCCACAAGTTCTTAGACAACGGTGTCAAGGAAGGGGAGACCTGTGGGGAAATCCCAGGCAGGCCATGCACATCTCTGTGGGCCCAACAGCTGCAATCCTTGATGGATAGGGCCTGCTGCAAGTGTACAGGGATGCCTCCAAAATGCCAAAAGTTCTGGAGGACCTGTTGCCTGAGGTGGATGTGACAATGTGACAAAGTGACAGTCAGATGCCTGAGCTGTCGCAGCTGTTGGCCACTCCTGACTGCACTCTGAGCAACCACTGAGGCAGAGCTCACTGCACAGGCTAGGGTGTGTCAGCCACAAGAACAGCTGTAACTATAATGAGATGCCGCCTGCAGGGATAGGATAGCAAATTGGAGACCATTGTTTATTTGGTAGGCCATTTAAAGTGTTGCCGACTGCCACACCAATGCGTTAGGACTATTATGACTACATCGTCCTGGAAGCCTAAGTCCTGGTGTCCGATGTAGAGCTCCAGTGGGAAGGAGATGAAGGTTAGGATGACTCCATAAAGGTTCTTGCCCTGCAGCCCCTGCTTTGCTGTCTCACTTGGTGAACAGAGGATGGGGGGGTCAATGCAGACAAAGTCCAGGGTCTAGGCTTATCAGTCAAATACTTGGTGTCATCTGGTTACATAAGACTATAGTTATTCCATATTTCATTATAGATAAGATAAGATGCAGGTCTACTCATGTCCCAACACACCAAAGCAGTTGGAAACCTTCCAAGGCCTCCTGGGACATTGGCGATCCTTTATTCCCCATTTCGGCAAACTCCTTAGGCCCCCATGGCACTTAGTCAAGAAGGTGCCCCACTGCGACTGTTCCAAAAGGGAGGATGAGGGCTCTGAAGAAGCTAAAGTCACAGTGAAATGAATACAAACCTTGGGAGTTCTAGTGCAGGGACAGCCCTGTGAATTGGATGTAGTCAGTTACCCTGAGGGGTTTAGGTGGGGACTGTGTTAAAGGCAAGGACATAAGTGTGTGTCCCTAAGACCCTGGTCTCAAAGACAGAAGGAAGCTGAAGTGAGATATACTGTTTAGGAGTAACAACCGCACTACATGTCATGCCTTACAAGTGGAGGATGTGACAGAGGGCCACTCCACATCCAGAACAACCTTTAGCAGGCTGGCTAAAGGATGCCTTCCAGACACAAAAGCCTTGGAATACCAGGACACAGTCTGTAGCCAAATGGTACTTGTGGTGGTCACCACCAACATAAAAGTGGGCCAACTGTGCCAGCAGAAGTTAGCCCCACAGAACTTTCCCCCACCTAAGAGAAGGCAGTGAACCACGATGTGGGATGCCACCACTGTGGAATTGGGGGAGCTTAGACTTGGATTCAGACACAAGGGGAGAGAGTGGATCACAGGGTGGCTTCTCTATGGGACAGGGGGTGGAGAGTGTTATACTTTCTGGACTCAAGATGAGTAAAATGGCACCCATCACAAACCATCCAGCCCTATGATGGCACCTTTATGGTAAGTGGTTGCAGGCTCCAGCGGGGCCAGGTCCAATGAGGAAGATGCCCACACAGCTCCTTCTCAATGGCAGACTATAGAAGAGTTGCAGGACATCTTCTGGGAGTTGAAATGAGGCATGCTAATTATGCTGAGAATTATTGAAGTCCCAACAATGAATTGTTTACTGCAAAATAAAAGCTACAATTATGTATTCAGTGCCTACCAAATGGCATGGTGCACTGATTTCCATGTTAAGCCCCCTGGGAGGGCAGCCAACATTTCATGTGCCCCAGGTAGTTGCTGACTTAGGAGAAAAGAAGAAACTGAGTAAGCAAGGGATGCACCCTACTGTGATGAAAAACAATGGCACCAAAGGAAGAGAGACAGCCAAGGAGCCAGTCAGCGTGGCCAGACAACAAATGTGCTCTAACTGGCAACACCTACCAGTTATCTGGGCCCATAGCAGCAATAGGTGATTATGGAAGGGCCACAGAAGTCAGACAGGTTGAACTAGTGATACGACCTGGGGGACTGCCACCCAGACCCTGTTTAGTATACATAGCTTCCATCTTAGAACACATGAGAATGGATATCTTCTTAGGCGTGACCCTCCAAACAACTGCCAGGGAATTCCAACTGAGAGTTAAAGTGGTGACGCATGTGACCAAGCAGAAGGCAAACTGGATGCCGGTAGAGCTGCCAACCCATGGGGAGTCCCACAGCTGGAGCAACACCACCCGCCCTGGGGAGGGGAAGATGATCCAATCATGAAGATTGTTAAGGAGTTAGCCCAGGTAGGCATTAGGAGGCCACTGCACAGTTCCTACAACAGACCTGCATGGCCCATGCAGAGGCCAGTTGGGACATGGAGAATGACAGTAGATTACTGGGAGTTAAATAAGGTGGTCTCCCGAGTGAATGCAGCTGTTCCTAATATCTCCTCCAGTCTGACGAGAATAGGAGAGGTGTTAGCCACATAGCATTTCGTTATCAGTTTAGTCAATACCTTCTTCAGCATTTCTGCTGCCCCACATTCAAGATCAATTTGCATTAACCTAAAAAGAACAATGGACTTTTACTGTCTTGTTCCAGGGATATTTACACAGCCCAACTCTCACAGCCTAGTGACCTCCAACCTCAGTTGATGGGCTGACCCAAAGGGGATACATGTTTTCCACTACATTGGTGTTATCATGGTAACTTCTGAGTCTTTTTTCAGCTTATAAATTGCAGCCCCTGTCTTGCTGTCTCACTTGCTGAACAGAGGATGGGAGGTTAATACAGACAAAATCCAGGGTCCAGGCTTATCAGTCAAATAGTTGGTGTCATCTGGTTTGGTAAAACTAAAGTCATTCCATCTGCCATCATAGATAAGGTGCGGGCTTACCCATGTCCCACCACAACAAAGCAGCTGCAAGCTTTCAAGGCCCTCTGGAGCATCAGTGTCCTTTTATTCCTTTTATTTGACATCCCTGGAGGAGGCTGCTAGGGGAGACTGTGTCCCTCCTAAATTCATGTGCTGAAGTCCCAACCCTTGGTCCTTCAGAATGAAATCATACTTGGATTAGTGTCTTTTAAAGAGCTAAATAAGTTAAAGTGAGATTCCTGGAGTGGGGCCCTAATGCAATCTGACTGTTGTTATAAGAAGGGGAAGCAGGAGGGGGGGTGCACACGCCCCGAGGGACGGCCATGTTACCACAGAACAGCGAGAAGGCGCCATCTGCACGCCAGGGAGCGAGACCTCAGAGGAAACCCACCCAGCTGGCAGCTTGATCTTAGGCTTTCATCCTCCATAAGTGTGAGGAAATTGGTTTTGTATTGTAAGCCATCCGATCTGTGGTATTTTGTCATAAAAGCCCTATAAAATGAATACAGTAGGTAATAGGAGAGCTTCTATACATTGAAAAAGTCGGATGGCCAGACAAACCTGGACACTCCTGTTCAGACCTGAGCAGGGTGATGGACCTGCTTTGGGACAGGAGAGGGGAAGAGATGAACCCAGCACCCAGACCCAGCTGAGCCCATTCCTCAGCAGGCTGTCCCTGGGCCAGAGCTTGCACAGGCATGAAAGAGCCTGTCTTGGTCTTCAGGGGCTCGTGGAGTTGGACGGAGAATGGTGTAGACTCAAGAACATGTCATCGTTGTGCCCGTGTTTATGTGAATGGGATGTGTTTCTAGGGTGTGCTCATCCCCAGAGAAGAATTAATCAGGTCTCCTGGGCTAGAAAGAGGTTGTGGCATTTGTGTGTATTAATAACTGTAGTCGGACAGTAAATTATGTTAAAATGCTTATGGGAAGGCACAATGGAAAGAAACACTTTGTTACAGAAGGGAAAAAAAGGTAATTATTCAAATGAGATGCCTTTGAAGGTCACTATGCCAAGAGGAGCCGATCGCATGATAGTGTTAGGTTTCACGTTCAGGAGATCAGGAGGGTCCGTCTGCTGGCTTTTATGATACCCTAGACAGAGCTGAGAGTATAATGTATGAATGGAGGGGAGTGGAGAAAGGGGAGGCCAAATGTTTGATGGGAATGGAGGGTCACTATTGGAGCCATTAGGAAATACACAAGCATGATTTGTGCTGAAGCACAGAACAGTGTTCCTGGGGAATATTGTGTTGCTTTGGGAGCTGCTGAACATACAGGAGTTTCACTGTTCTTAGTTCTCGAATTCTCTAGACTCTCTTGACAGCCCAATTTTAAATATTGGGAATATAGGTAAGACACATTCATGGTTAAAAATTCTTAAGTGAAGATGTAGGAAGAAATTTAAAGTAATCAATTTAGGTTATGAAAATTTAGTTATGGTGAACTGTGATGTCTGTTTCTCACATGGAATAATGGAATATAAGTAATTACTCATCTCAGTGGTTCATTTTCCCATAGCCATCAATTACAAAACTGCTGGATAATTTCCTGAATTGTCCACCCTAGAAGTTGACCTCACATTACCTCAGTGAGAAACCGCTAGTCTGGTTGATCCAGCCTCATTCTTCCCATCAGGAATTTTGTGTCTCTGTGCACATATGGCATAGTCCTGGTCAGGGTGGCAGAGGGAAGGAACTGAAGAGGGCATTGTCAGACCATTCTTCAGAGGAGGAGTGGAGAAGAATTGTGTCCCATTTCCCAGTTGGCTGTGTATCTGCATATGGCCTCGGGATTGCTGCCAGCCTATCCATGCATGATGAAGCTTATTTAGGGGACGAAGCCAGCATGCTGAGTGTTCAGTGCCGACAGCCAAGAGAATCAACTGCCTGGTGCATGCTGCTTTTATGAAAACAAGCCCAGGGCCACTTGCATTCTTCTGTATTAGATTCTCTAGTGAAGTTGTTTCTTCATTTCTGCTGAAACTGCCACATATAATTACCTAGAGGCATTACAATAAACTGATTGAGAGTTAACTGACTTCCTGGTGAGGTTAAAATGAGTGTCAGGTGCACAGTAAGACAGACAGGAGACATGGGAGCATAGCAAGCTTGTGTTCACCATGGTTTGTACCTTAACTTCTGTTTTGTACCTTCTGTACCTTCCTTAGATGTTCAGGCACTCCATTGAGGAGCCTGACAGAACATTATTTATTGATGGACCATAGCTCAAAATATAGAAATGGATATTACCGAGGAGAATATACTGTTACTACTTTATCTTTATCTTAAAATATACTCTTCCATCTGAGGTGAAAATTAATCCAGATGGTAGAACTTATTGCAGTTACTACAGCATTTTAGGAAATCAAAAGCTGCAGAACAAACATATGGACAGATGGCAGGTATGTTTTTGGAATCGTAAACAACTTTGCGATGATTGTAAAACCAAGGGGTGTCTCACAAGGGCTGGAAACCTCTCAAAATGAAACAACACACTGAGGATCTTTGAGAAGTACTCTGACCTCCAAGCGAGCTGGCTGATATGGAGGCTGAGCTACATGTAGAAAGCCAAAGGAATTTCTGCAGGACATCATCATGCCAAGCACAGCAGTAAACTGAGTCCCAGCCCTTTTCACACGCTCAATGGTTAGATCTTGGGAAGGAATCAAAGAAGCCATTGTAAAATATCAAAATTTAAACCCTGATTTTGAATTTAAAATGTGTTAACATATGGTTGTGGCCTACACTCAGAAAATCTGTCTCCTTCAGATGGTGTCTCAGTAGCACCACATGGTTTCAAGTGGCTATTCATTAAATTTCTCCATGAAACTACCAGATACAGAATAGATAAATTGTCACTGTCTTAAATCAACCCTTGGGAAAGGAAAACTGTGTAAAGACAGCAGAGAGGAAACATTGTTCAAGGGAAAAACAATCTCCAGAAACTGTTGTTAAAGAAACAGAGGCCCTCTTTCCAGCCAGTGCCGAGCGATGGACATCTCTTGGGACAACTGGCACAAGTGCCACAAAACCAGGGACAAGAGAAAGCCCTACCACAAGAAGCGGAAGTATGAGTTGGGGCACCCAGCTGCCAACACCAAGACTGGCCCCCGCCGCATCCACACAGTCCGTGTGTGGGGAGGTAACAAGAAATACTGTGCCCTGAGGCTGGACGTGAGGAATTTCTCCTGGGGCTCAGAATGTTGTGCTCATAAAACAACGATCATCGATGTTGTCTACAATGCATCTAATAACGAGCTGGTTCGTCCCAAGACCCTGGTGAAGAATTGCATTGTGCTCATTGACAGCACACTGTACCGACAGTGGTACGAGTCCCACTATGCGCCGCCCCTGGGCTGCAAGAAGGGAGCCAAGCTGACTCCTGAGGAAGAAGAGATTTTGAACAAAAAGCGATCTAAAAAAATTCAGAAGAAATATCATGAAAGGAAAAAGAATGCCAAAATCAGCAGTCTCCTGGGGGAGCAGTTCCAGCAGGGCAAGCTTCTTGCATGCATTGCTTCAAGGCCAGGACAGTGTGGCTGAGCAGATGGGTATGTGCTAGAGGGCAAAGAGTTGGAGTTCTATCTTAGGAAAATCAAGGCCCGGAAGGGCAAATAAATCCTTGTTTTGTCTTCACCCATGTAATAAAGGTGTTTATTGTTTTGTTCCAAAAAAAAAAGAGAAACAGAGGCATCACACTTACTAGAAAAACATATTCTATTTCATATATTATGGTGGTATGACGTGATGTTTTGACATATGCAGGCATTGTGAAATTATTAAATCAAGTAAATAAACATGCCCATCACCTCACATACTTATTTTTTATGGTGTAAACGTGTAAAATCTACTCTATTATCAGTTTTCAAGTATATAGTACATTAGTACCATGGAAGTCACCCTGCTGTGCAATAGATCTTCAAACTAATTCCTTCTGTCAAACCAAAACTCTGTACCCTTTCACCAATGCCTCAGCTTTCACATGCCCCTGACACCAGCCCCTGGTTGGCACCATTCTTCTCTCTACTTCTCTGAGTTCAACATTTTTAGATTGCATGTGTAAGTGAGATTATGGAGTAATTTTTTATACCTGGCTTATTTCACTTAACATAAAGAGTCAAATGCTCAACATCACTAATCATCAGGGAAATGCAAATTAAAACCACGATGAGATATCACCTCACACATGTTACAATGGCTTAGTCTCAGTCTGTCTTTGTGTTACTATAACCGAATACCAGAGACTGGGCAATTTCTAAAGAAAAGGAATTTATACTTTATGGTGCTTGAGTCAGAGAAGTCTAATATCAAGGCACTGACATCTCACAAGGGCCTTCTCACTGTGTCGTCTCACAGCAGAGGTGGGTGAGCAAGAGATCATTTGTCCACGAGAGAAAGGAGACTATCTTTTATTAGAAATTCACTCCTGTAATAACTAACCCACTCCAATGACAGTGACATTAATCCATTCATGAGGACAGAGCCTTCATGACCTAATCACATAATAAAGGTCCCACCTCTCAACACTGTTGCATTAAAGATTTTTTCCAAATCCTAAACTTTGGGAGACACATTTAAGTCATAGCATTCCATTCCTAATATCAAAATTTATGTCCTTATCACAATGCAAACTACATTCATTCCATCCCAATTGTCTCCAAAGTCTTATCCAGCATCAGTGCAAAAGTCTGAAGTCTAAAGTCTCATCTAAATCAGATGTGAGTGTGACTCAAGGCACAATTTAGCCTGATATAAATTTTTTCCATCTGTGAGCCTATAAAGTCAAAACAAGTTATCTACTTTCAAATACAGTGAACAATGGGGCAGGTATGGGATAGAAATTCCCATTCCAAAGCTCAGAGACAGGGAAGGAGAAAGCAGTGCCTAGTTCAAAACCCAACAGAGGAAAAAAACATTAAGTCTTATAGCTGAGACTTAATGTTTTTTTCCCTTGTTGGGTTTTGAACTAGTTCAACCATTGTAGAAGTCCTTGTGGTGATTCCTCAGGGATCTAGAACTAGAAATACCATTTGACCCAGCCATCCCATTACTGGGTATATACCCAAAGGACTATAAATCATGCTGCTATAAAGACACATGCACACATATGTTTATCGCAGCACTATTCACAATAGCAAAGACTTGGAACCAATCCAAATGTCCAACAACGATAGACTGGATTAAGAAAATGTGGCACATATACACCATGGAATACTATGCAGCCATAAAAAATGATGAGTTCATGTCCTTTGTAGGGACATGGATGAAATTGGAAATCATCATTCTCAGTAAACTATCGCAAGAACAAAAAACCAAACACCGCATATTCTCACTCATAGGTGGGAACTGAACAATGAGAACACATGGACACAGGAAAGGGAACATCACACTCGGGGGACTGTTGTGGGGTGGGGTGAGGGGGGAGGGATAGCTTTAGGAGATATACCTAATGCTAAATGACGAGTTAATGGGTGCACACACCAGCATGGCACATGTATACATATGTAACTAACCTGCACATTGTGCACATGCACCCTAAAACTTAAAGTATAATAAAAAAAAGTCTTATAGCTGGAAAATCATCCTCTTTGACGGCATCTTGTGCACACTGGGGAGGGGGAAGGGCCCCCAAGGCCTCCAGCAGTCTTGCCTCTATGGATTTTCTGGGTTCAGTCCACTCAGCCCCTCTCACAGGTGGGACTCTCAGGCCTCTAGCTCTCCTAGGCTGACTGGAAACTCTTTGTGGTGCCTCCAAACCCATATTTCTGCTTGGCATTGTGCTAAGGGTCCAGTGTGGTGACTCTGTCTCTGCAACAACTCACTGCCCGAGACCTTAGGCTGTCCACAGCATTCTTTGAAATCTAGGTGGAGAAAGCCATGCCCTCGTGGTATTCTGCACACCTGCAGAATTAGCAATACATGGATGCCATGGAAGTTGATGACTTGTACCATTAAAGTGATGGCTTGAGCCACACCTAGGTCCTCCTGAGCCACATCATGGGCAGCCAAGGAGTGCTGTGCCTGGACACAGGGAACAGAGTCCTAAAGTGCCTGCTAGAAGTGAGGCCATAGATTTGCTTCAAATTTCTCCCACCATATATCCTCACTCATGGCTCTGAACTTCCACTTTACAGAAAGACCTAGGGATGAGCACAATTCAGCCACATTCCTTGCCACTTTAAGGGAAGGATGGCCTTTGCTCCATTTTCCGATGAGCTATTCTTCTTTTTCTCCTGAGACCTCATCAGAACGGCCTTTATTGTCCACGGTTCTACCAACATTCTAATGATCATCACCTAAATAATCTCTAAGAAGTTTCAGAATTTCCTCACAGCTGTCTTCTTCTGAGTCCTCAAAAGAATACCCCTAGTGTTCTAGTCATGGCAATCTAGACTTTTTATAACCTGATCCTCCAAATTATTCCAGTCTCTGTGCATTACTACTTCCACTTCTACATTTTGGGATATTTGTTATCACAACAGCCCCACCTCTTGATACTGATTTTTTGTCTTAGTCCACTTTGTGGTGCAATGAGTGAATACCACACACTGGCTAATGTGTAAGGAAAAGAAATTTATTTTCTCCCAGCTCTAGAGGCTGGGAAGTCAATGTCAAGGTGCTAGCATCTGGCAAGAGCCTTCTTGCTGTGATGCCCATGTGGAAGGCAGGAGAGCATGTGCAAAGGATGGAAAGGGGGCTAAACTCATTTTTTAATGAGGAACCCAGGCCTGTAGTAACTAATCTGCTACCACAATAAGTAACCTACTCTGATGATAATGGCATTAATTGCTTCATGAGGGCAGAGCCCTCTCGGCCTAATCATTTCTTAACATTCTCACCTCTGGACACTATGGAATTTGGGATTAAGTTTCCAATACACACCCTTTCTAAACAGCAGGGGCTTTTTAATAGGTTTACCACCCAAGGCTGCAGGAGGCTCTGAAGTAGTGGGTGGCTGTCCTTTGTGAGAATGGAGAGAAGTGAACTGACTGATGGAGACACAAGTAGATGAAGTAAAGGCATTCATTGCTTCATTACATGGATGGTGAGGGCGATTGAAGGCATTAACGGATTAAAGATGGTGGCAAAACCATCTGAGGTGGAGACCACGGGGAGCCCATCAGAAATGGAGGACACGTCCCAATAAATGGTGCTTCATTTCCCTGCAAAGCAGATGAAAGCAAAGAAGAAAACACAATGCCATAGTGTACACTGAGCAGTGGATTGAGAGAAGAGTTTCCTAAGGCGTAACTGACAGAGTGGAGAAGACACACGAATCTTTGCATGGTGCTAACATTTGGACTGTGGCTTCATTATTTCTTATTAATATTTTACTGAAATATCACTAGAAGGAGACTGAAAATGAAGTGTGAAAAGTTAAATGGGATTTCTGCTCTAAGTCCTTTTCAGATGAGAGGAACTGGGGAATTCCAGGGAAGAAACAATAATAGCTGCTGAGCAAGGCTTTTGCAGGGCAGGACAAGGAATCCCCAAAGAGAAAACGGAAACCTCAGCTTCACTTTGCATCTGCTCCTGAGCCAGGTCTTGAGCGACCCCTGTAGGTCCTGAGCGCCCCCGGTAGGTTCTGAGCATTCCGTGGTTGCTGGGCGCCCTCTGGTGGTGTCTGAGCCCTTCTGGTGGTTTCTGAGCCCCCCTCTTAGAGTCTGAGCCACCCTATTAGTGTCTGAGCCACCCTATTAGTGTCTGAGGACCCTGGTGGTGTCTGAGCACAGGTGAGCTCCTCTGAAGGAAGGGTCTACATGGGGACAGGCGTGCTTGTCTCAGGGAAGGGTCCACATGGGGACAGGTGAGCTCATCTGAGGGAAGGGTCCATGTGGGGACAGGTGTGCTTGTCTGAAGGAAGATTCCACATGGAGACAGCTGTGCTTGTCTCAGGGAAGGGTCCACATGGGGACAGGTGAGCTCGTCTGAGGGAAGGGTCCATGTGGGGACAGGAGTGCTTGTCTCAAGGAAGGGTCCTCACGTGGACAGGTGTGCTCTTTTGAGGGAAGGATTGACCTGGGGACAGGCATGCTTGTCTGAGGTAAGGGTCCACCTGGGGACAGGTGTGATTCCCTCAGGGAAGGGTCCACGTGGGGACAGAGGTGCTTGTCTAAGGCAAGAATCCACGTAGCGACAGGTGAGTTCGTCTCAGGGAGGGGTCCAGGTGGGGCGAGTTGTGCTTATCTGAGAGAAGCATCGAAGTGGGGACAGGTGTGCTTGTCTCAAGGAAGGGTCCACGTGGGGACAGGTGTGGTAGTCTCAGGGAAGGGCCCACATGGGGACAGGTGTGCTCATCCGAGAGAAGGGTCCATGTAGGGACAGGTGTGCTTGTCTCAGGGAAGGGTTCATGGGGACAGGTGAGCTTGTCTGAAGGATGGGTCCACATGGGGACTGGTGTGCTCCTCTGAGGGAAGGGTCCACGTGGTGACAGGTGAGTTTATCTGAAGGAAGGGTCCACATGGGGACAGTTATGCTCCTCTGAGGGAAGGGTCCATGTGGGGACAGGTGTGCTTGTCTCAGGGAAAGGTCCACGTGGGGACAGGTGTGCTCGCCTTGGGGAAGAGGACAGATGAGCTCATCTCAGGGAAGGGGCCACGTGGGGACAGGTGTGTTTGTCTCAGGGAAGGGTCCACATGGGTACACCTGTGCTCCTCTGAGCAAAGAGTCCACATGGAGACAGGTGTGCTTGTCTGAAGGAAGGGTCCACGTGGGGACAGGTGTGCTCCTCCAAGGGAAGGGTCCATGTGGGGACAGGTGTTCTTGTCTCAGGGAAGGGTCCACGTGGGGACAGGTGTGCCCCTCTGAGGGAAATGTCCACGTGGGGACAGGTGTGCTTGTCTCAGGGAAGGGTCCACGTGGGGACAGGTGTGCTCGTGTGGAGGAAGGTTCCACCTGGGGACAAGTGTGCTTGACTCAGGGAAGGGTCCACTTGGGGACATGTGTGCTTCTCTCAGAGAAGGGTCTACGTGGGGACAGGTGTACTCATTTGAGGGAAGGGTCCACGTGGGGACAGGGGGGCTCATCTGAAGGAAGGATCCACGTGGGGACAGGTGTCCTTGTCTCAGGGAAGGGTGCACGTGGGGACAGATGTGCTCATCTGAAGGAAGGATCCACGTGGGGACAGGTGTGCTCCTCTCAGAGAAGGGTCCACGTGGGGACAGGTGTGCTTGTTTGAGGGAAGGGTCCACCTGGGGACAGGTGTGCTCGTCTGAGGGAAGGGTCCACCTGGGGACAGGTGGGGTCATCTCATGGAAGGGTCCACGTGGGGACAGATGTGGGAGAGGGTGTGCCTGGTCTGAACTGGAGTTTGAGGGAAGAATTTCTCGAGCAAGTGTGAATCCTGAACATGACCTGTTTTTCAGGAAGGAAAGCAGACCACATGGAAGCAGATGAAGGAAAAAGCAGACCACGTGGGAGCCGGATGAAGGGAAGGTTTCTATGAAATTGAAACAGCCTATCTGCCAGTGGAGAAAGTTATTTCATCCTTTTTTGCCTGCAGTGAGAAAGGGGGAAATCAGAGCCACAGAGAAGAGAATGAAATGTCCCTGAGGACATCTGAGAATTAGAGAAAAGAAAGCCTCAGATTCTAAGGAGAAGTCCTCGCCACTTCCCATCTGAGCCTGCTCTTCAGTGGACCCAAGTGTCGAGTGCATCCTGCACATCTCAGGCCCCCAGGAGGGAGGGTCCTGTCTGGGTTCACACGGCATCCCCTCACTGTGTCTCCCACAGGAATACCTGGCTGTCCTGTGGGTTCCTGGAGCTCCGCCGCAGGGAGCGCTGCTTGTTGGATGAGTCTCTGGATGGAGATGAGGCTCTTGAGAGGCGGCGGTTGTTCGTGTTTCTCTTATAATCGATGCTCCTCAGCCAGTGCAACCCCTTGTCTAGGGGCCGGTGGACCGGGCCTCCGCAGTAACCACTGGCTGTGATGGAGAATCCGGAGTCGTGCCAGGTGAGGAAGGGGGCAGCCACGGCTTCTCCAGTCTTGAGCCTCACTCCTGCTGCTGCACCTGGGACAGGACAGCTGGGAACAAGAACAGTCAGTCCCTGTCAGTCATGGGACATCACAGTTATTGCCACAGCCCGTGTCTGGCCTCTGAGATGCTCACCTTCGGGAGGTGTCAGCAGGCACAGGAGAAGGCCCAGCAATCTCATCTTCTTCTGAACCCACCTTTGTCTTCCCCAGAGACACCGTCCCAGTCTGAGAAGTGACTGGATGCTTCCACAGCCCAGGGGTGGATTTTACCCCAGAGCTAAAACAAAAAATTACACGGGGTGGATGACTATTTATTTATTTATTTATTTAGAGACAGAGTCTCGCTCTGTCGCCCAGGCTGGAGTGCGGTGGTGCAATCTCGGCTCACTACAACCTCTTTCTCCCGGGTTGAAGCGATTCTCCTGCCTCAGCCTCCCTAGTAGCTGGGATTACAGGTGCCCAGCAGCATGCCTGACTAATTTTTGTAATTTTAGTAGAGACAGGGTTTTGTCACTTAGCCAGGCTGGTCTCAAACTCCTGACCTCATGTGATCTGTCTGCCTCGGCCTCCCAAAGTGCTGGGATTATAGGCATGAGCCACCGTGCCCAGCCTAGCTGACTCTTTTTATAAGTAGAAAAGTTAAGATATGGCCCCTACCTCCTGGTAGTTGAGCGTTGTGTAGAGTGCCTTTCCTCCTAAACTCATGTGGCACGCATGTCACTTGACATTTGGTGGTTGGAGGACACTTGGTCTGCGAGACAAATGGGAATAGGCAAAGGACAGCCCTGCCATTCTGATCCCAGGGCTACTTTCCTTCCAACCCCTCTTCCCTCCTGCCCTTCCTTGTTTCTAGCGCAGCTCCCCCTATCCACAGGCCCAGGTCTTGCTTCCTCAGTGCTGAGCCCAGCACAGCTCCTGGGCTCTTTCCTTGGGTCCCACCTGTGGTGTGGCTCTCCTCACCCATGGAGCTTTGGACAACATCACATTACTGTCTCAGGAGCTCTACGCCAGCCCTGCACTCTAACCCATTCTGTGATGCCAGAGACAAGGACCTCAGGACCTACCGGGGCTGGATAAAATAATGTTCTTTGATTTACTCAGGAACTAATTCTCAATAGTTGGGGGAAGAGACAGACACATCCCTTTTTAAGTACTCCATTATCCAGACATTTAAAATGCATCTAAAGTGTGAGGATTTCTACTCTAAATGCATCTCTTCCTCTTGTTCTCTTGAGGCTATTCCTGTATATGAATTACTCATTACCTCAACTCATTACTGATAACACTTTTTTTGGAAATTCATTCATAATAAATAATATGAAAGCAGTACCAATGTCCTCATATACAACTTTTAAAGTTTGTATTGTGATAAGAATACCTACCATGAGATACACTCTCTCAGCAAATTTTTAAGTGTACTGTGCAGTCAAGTTATCTAGACTCAGGATTCTGTGCATCCAGTCTCCAGAACTTATTCATCTTGCAGAACACCAATTTTATACACACAAATTAGCAACTTACAGCTGTTTTGTTTTGGTTTTGTTTTGATTTTGGGGGGCAATTTTTAGGATTTTCTACATACAAGACATGTCATCTGTAAACAGTGACACCTTTACTCCTCTCTTTCTGATTTAGTAACTTTTTCTTGCCTAAGTTCTCTGACTAGGACTTACAATACTATGTAGAACAGAATTGGTGAGATAGGGCATCCTTGTCTTCTCCATCATCTAAGTGGAAGCTTGTTCAGTGTTTCAGCATTGGCTATGATGCTAACTGTGGGCTTTTAAATATGGCTTTCAATATGTCCAGATAATTTCCCTTTATTTGTAGTTTGTTAAGAGGTTTTATCATGGAAAGATGTTGAAATTTGTCAAATGATTTTTATGCATCTGATGAGATAATATTTTAGTCTTTCATTATGTTAATGTGGTCCATCAGATTCAGTGATGTTTAGATGTTGCACCATCCCAATATTCCAGAGAGACATTCCACTGGATCATGGCAAATGATCCTTGTAATGTGCTGTTCAGTTTGATTTGCCAATATTTTGTTGAGTACTTTTTGCATCTTTGTGTTTCAGTAAGAGTGGTCTGTAATTTATGTTAATTTGGTGTTTGCCTGGTTTTGATTTCAGGGCAATGCTGACTTTATAAAATAAGTTTAGAAGTATTTCTTCATCTTAAAACTTTTGGGAGGTCGAGATGGGTGGATCACAAGGTCTGGAGATCGAGACCATCCTGGCTAACAAGGTGAAACCCCATCTCTACTAAAAATACAAAAAATTAGCCGGGCATGGTGGTGGGCACCTGTCATCCCAGCTACTCAGGAGGCTGAGGCAGGAGAATGGCGTGAACCTGAGAGGTGGAGCTTGCAGTGAGCAGAGATCATGCCATGCACTCCAGCCTGGGCAACAGAGCGAGACTCCATCTCAAAAAACAAACAAACAAACAAACAAAAAAACTTTTGGAAGTGGTTCCAAGCTCGCTTTCGATTACTGATTCAGTCTTTTACTAGTAATAGTTCTGTTTCTACTTTTTCAAGATTCAATCTTGGAAGATTGTACATATCTAGGAATTTATCCATTTCTTCTATGTTATCCATTGCTGAGTATACAATTTATTTTTAGTAAGCTCATGAGATAAATGGCCAAACATTAAAAAACGGAGTGAGGGAGTCAGGGACAGACAGGAGACAGTTGAAAGAAAGAAAAATACATTTCAGTCTCCTAGAGTTAGAAGGAATTCTAGAAGGTTTTGTTTAAGATAACAAAAGTGTAGGAATTCCTTATGCTGTGGCTGGGGGCATCCTGGAGAGATGCTGCTGCCTGGAGGCCCAGGCCCCTTCCTGTCCTGGCTCATCATCAGGCTCAGAGGAACTCGAGACCTTAGGGAAAGAGGAGCAATAGAGGGGAAATATTAGCATAGGTTCCAAAAATGAAAAGGAACTAAATAATCATGAAACTACATATAGATATTTTATATAAATGTAATTATTATAAAATTATAATAGTATATTTCTAATATAATTATGACAGTATTATAATTATTTATATAATTATAACAGTATTATAATTATTTATATAATTATATATCACTTTGGTATATATAATGTATATATATAACTAAATTTAAATAAATGTCCATCATTTGACCAATTAGAAATCCAAAGTTTATATACAAAATTCTGTACTGAAATAACTTCTAAGACAAAAATTGAAAATGAAGCTGGTTGGCTTCGTGCCCCTCTACACTACAGGTTCTAGAGAGGGGAATCTAGATCCTGCAGCAGGCAGAAGAATGCCCCCCAAAGATGCCCATGCCATAGTCCTGGGGCTCTACAAAGACATCACCTGCAGGGCCAAAGGGACTGGGCTGACGTGATAGAGGCCCTTGGATGTTACAGTCACCCTGGCCTGTGCATGCCATATGCCCTGGGGTCCTGATGAGGAGAAAGAGGAGCAGCAGAGTCCAAGACTGGGGAGGTGTGGGATGGAAGCGGAGGTCAGTCACACAGCCACCAGCCGGGGAACGCAGGCGCCCCTAGGAGCTGGCAAAGGCAAGAGATAGATTCTCCCAGATAACTCTAGAAGGAAGCAGCATGGCTGGTGCTCAAGTCTTTAGTTCTGTGAAACGCCTTCCAGACTCTGACCTTGGAACTGTATACTGGTCCATTGTAATTTCACTTTAGCATTTTTGGGATTGCACCAATTGGCAAACTTTGTGATCAATACCAGGGCTCCAATAATAGCTATACCTAGGAAATTCATTAGATTTCAAGATTTAAACATGTATCCCATGTGAACTTAAGATAATTAAATAGAAATCAATATATTTGGAAGAAGAAATAGACACACCGCACTTTAGCGGTTGCCTTGCCTAGATTTCACATGATCATAATGTCCTTTGTCCTAAAATATCTCATATTGGGCATACACTCTGACACAATGAATTAAATTAAAATGGAATGAGGTGTTTGGCACTTGTGCATTGGCTTGATAAAATGGAACTCAAAGAGTTCCAGTTTATGTAGTTAATATATTCCAACAGAAGTGAAAATGGACCTTCGAAGATTAAAAACTATTATACAAATCTAATCAATAAAGAGGTGATTTTTCCCATTGCTTCTCTATTTCACAGCCAAATCTTGCCTGTTCTTAAACCGGTGAAGAAGAAAAGACAATAGCATGAAGGTTGCCCTATGTTGGATTGTCACAACTTTCATGCCGTGGCCCCACCCATTAGGGCCCCATACTCCCAATGTTCTCAAAACGACTGGCTTTAACCAACAGCCAGTGCAGACTTTGCTCTTCCAGATGTGTCTAATTGGTTGTACTCAGCGCCCATCTCAGCAGCCCCTTAGCTGCAGATTGTCTTTGCCTGGGAAGGACACCCTTCTCAGGATACGCGGGCACCTCAGCGGCGTGGCCACCACATGAGAGCTTCGCAGGCTGGCTCCTCACTGCATCTGCCTTCCTCCGCAGCACTGCTGACACCTCCTCTGAGGAGATGCTCCCCATACTTTCATTAAGGACATACAAATGCCACATCCTGCTGTTCCTTGTGGGTTCTGGTGCAACATATTCCTCACCCATAAATTTCAACTAGCCTCGCTGTTGTTGCTACTTATAAATCACCTCCCCTAAATGAAATTTCCTTCAACAAAAGGCTCAACAGTGTGCCTAATTTAAAATCAACAGGCTCTTCTGTTAGTATCCTCAGAAACTCCTTCACTAAAGAAACTTGGCAAACCCTTCTCATGCCTCCTGGTGTCTCTGGGCGATCAATGTGGCCTTAAGATGCTCGACAGTTTCCAAGGCAAGTAACTGCTCCCTTTGGCCTTGGACTATAAATCATTCAACTGAACATTGCTGTCTACAACCTGGACTATTTGGACACATCCAGCTAACTATTGTGTTTGGGGTCACGGGAACAGCACCCCACACACTTAGCATGGCTCCAGAGGCCTTCTTAAGACAGGATAAAGCAACACCCAGGCCCTCTGTCATTTCTGCTTGCAGCAGGACTGGCTTCCTATATCCACAGTCACCTGGCAGGTGCCCAAGTGCTGGAGGAGGCCACCTCTCGGCCACATGGGAAGAACGCTGGGACTCACTGAGTGGACAGTGACTGGCATTTGCGGGCTGCAAGGATGACAAGTGATGGGGCTTGGGGCATGCTTCTGCTCTCCCTCTCTTGGCCATATGTCCCAACAAAGGATGGGGCTGGGGATCCCCAAAATTAGGCAGACATCAGGCAGTCACACCAGCATTGGGTGCCCTATCGAACCAATGGCTCCATTTCCACATTTATTATAAACAGCTCAGACGTTGTTTAAGAGCTGTCTTCAGGGTAAGGAAATCTGAAAGTCTCTTGCCTCCCAGACACTGAAAATATAAATCAAGTGGCTCATATCTCTGCACATAATAAGTTCACAATACGAGGCTTTGGTGGGACACTAATGTCCTTCAAAATTGCATACTTTGCTGACAGTAACCAAGTCACACATTTTACTTTTCAAAACACACAATGCTGGATACAGAAAAAGCCACTTGATAGAACTTCATGCCTCTTAGGCCCCATTCAATAGAACTTAATTATGGGCTGGTTTAACTCAGAGACATACTGATCTCCTCAAACAATTCCTTCAAATTCCACTCCAGTAAATGGACACCCAATGGATCTCCAACTTCTGTAGAACTAACTCTCCCTAAATTCAAGGCTCTTAGCTGAGTCGCCCTCATCCCAGCTTTCAGGACTTCTCCATCACCCTTTGAGATACTTATAGGCTTATATTCATTGCATTATTGAGGCTATTTAAAATATTATTTCCATATCTTTACAAATGTTTGATGTTGCTCTTATCTCATAAGGGCTGGAGAACCTATTGAGGGTAAAAACTCTCCTCGGATGATTAGCCATAGAGGGTCCCGTGGGTCAGTCGGCTGCTCATCTGATATGAGCCCATTTGAACGTAAAGTTCCACAAAAACAAACTCAAAAAACAAATGAAAACAACATCAACACCTGCCAACTGCAGCCAAGCACCCCTCTGTTGACTGCTGGTCTCACCATTGTCCATGTGGCTGCTTGTATTGTGGACTTATTTGTTATAATCCAAAGGGCAGAAACCTCCAAATAGGCCATCACTTCAACCAAACACGGCAAGTGCTGATAGCCAGTCAGTCCGCTTGAGCACATGCCCACCTGGAAAGGACACCCTAGTACCCCATCCTAGAGCACATCGGCCTGGCCCAGGGCTCAAAGCTGGAGGTGGCTTTGGCTTTTCCCCGGCGAGCTGGAGACAGTTGTGCCCTAAACCTTAACACCAGTCATGGCCTGGGAAGTCTCTCAATGAAACAATAAGGCATTGGACATGCCTTGCTTTTGTCCCTTGGATACTAGGGATCCTATTGTGCTCCCTGAGCTTGCTGTCCATTTGGTCCAGGATCCCAGTGCACTCCTTGCTGTTTGCCACAACATGCTACACTACATTTCTGTTCATACAGAGAAATCTGATAGTGGTTACTACCATCTCTGTCAGTCTGAAAATCAGCAGAGGTCATTGCTGCACACAAAGGAACCTGCCTCATATCCATCAACCCTTTGACACCATGAGGAGAGAACCACCCACTCCCCAGTAACTTTTCCCACTCCCAACCCGCATCTCTGAACTACGACCACCACCAACACTTCCACCTTTTGATTACCACTAATCTTGAGAAATAATTTACTAACCCATCCATCCATGCACTCCAACAATGTGACTAGAGGACCTGCCACCTTGACCCAAGAAAGACACCAAAATATTATTGTTAGAAAAATACATGCATAAAGAAATTTATAACTGCACCAAGACATTGTTTGCGACCCCAGCTGTCTCAGACCAGGTTTCTTGGCTGTCATACAAATGGGAAACCTATTTATGGGCTGGCTGGCAGCGACTCTTGATACTTCTACTTGTGTTCCTCCTCTCTACTCTCACAGTAAAATGTTTTCTATATCCTTTAGGGCAACTGATGTAGCCACACTCTGTAAACTCTTCAGCATCAACACTCCAAAAATTCCTTCACATGACATGAAACCATCAGAGGTTGGGTTGGGTTAATCCTGTGTCCTTATTCTCCGTGTTTATGATACTCTGACATCTTGGAGTCTTGTGGAACTGGGGAGGAAAAGCCTGTCCCAGGATTACTTAATTTCTAGAAGAAACACTTGCTGGTGAGCACACCTTTCCTGTGCAAACCAGGGCATACGGGCCCATTCTCCCCACCTGTTTATCTGACTCACACAACAAGCCAACATTTCCTCTGCCCTAAACCCCCAAGGGGCAGGTACAGGACAAGGAGAGATGGCTCCAATAGGCCAGAGCCCATCGCGTTTTTCAGCATCCCATGCCATGCCGGTTGGAAGCTCGTCCACCCGCCTCCCTCATCCCTTCCCCTGGAAGCTGAAGAAGGCTGTGCTGCTGCCGCCTCCCTGCTCCCCTTCAGGGCTTTCTGGGCAAGGCTTACAGTTCCAGGAGGATCCAGCCCCCCGTGTGGAGGTGCTCTCCAGGTCCTGAGACTTCAGTGCAAGATGAAGGTGTGCTTTGCACGTGGGAGGCCTCAGTCATAAGCAGGGAAGGTCCAGGGGAGGCCTCAGTTTCTGATTCAGGAGCTGGAGAAGGAGGAGGCCTTATCTGCTCCCAGGAATGACCCTCCCTCTTCTGAGTGCCCCGCCATCTGGGGCTCCAGGTCAGAGAAGTGCCAGCCACAAGAGGGAACTTGGAAGGTGTGGAAATGAATTCTGCTCTCAGGAGAAAACCCCACTGATGAAGACATGCTTGCCTTTTCCTTCTCTCCTCCTGGGCACCCTTGCCCTAGGGCCCGCCTCTCCCTTCATCCCCCTGAGGGAACTTTGAGCAGAGTGTGGGCCCAGAGGCCACAGGTCAGGGACATGAGCTCAGCGCTATGGGGATGCACAGCCTTGGGCAGTCAGTGGATGCTTCCTGGTGGGGCCTCGCCTCTGAATGGCCACATGAGTCATTCCTGCCCTGGACAGTAGAGAACCCGAGCAGAGGATGGCCCTCCCAGCAGGATTTGACTGTGAGCATTCCGTGAGCATAGCTCATTTCTCAGAGCTGAGAGGGTGGTCCTGACTGGCTTGCGCCCTCCCAGTGCACCTCTGTGTCCTCTCCACGCTGCCTGCCTCCCCAGGGCCTGGGCAGCCCCTACCTCCTGCTGATTTCCCTCAGCCCAGCTCCTGCTCGGGGGGAGCCCTGCAGAGCCCTCACTGGGCACCTCTCTCAGAGGCACTGGGCCCCACAGGTAACTGAGCAGGTGCAGCCATCGCTCAGTACAGCTCCTGGGGACAGGTCAGGTGGGTTAGGCTGGGGCTCTGGTGAGGTCAGGCCACACCACCCAGGGGAGACAAGAGCTGAGACACCTCACTTCCCATGTCTCTCTTTTCACGTCTCTTAGGGCAGTCTTCCCCCAGCTGTGTAGCTCAGGAAGAACTCTCAGGGTTCATGTGGAGAAAGAGGCTGTGACCACCCCAGAGGCCTCTTCTCCAGTGAGAAGCAGGGGGACACCCCGGAGGAGCAGACATTCTAAGGCTGCCCGTGAGCCCTGCAACTGGCTCTGTTCCCAGCAGGGAGGTGGAGAGGATGCCACTCAGGAATCACCTCGGAGCCCCGAGAAGAGGGAGGTCTAGATGTTGATTTCTTGGGAAAGGGCTGTGAGCTCAAAGATGGGCTTAGGAATATGGATCACAGAAAAAAATTTGATGTGCAAAAATGAAAAAAAATATGACTTTTATTAAATCATAAAACTGTGATGAAACAGCTGACATCAGTGGAGCAGCCTGCACATTTTCCATCCAGGCATCGTTGAGTCTAGATACGTGTCCCAATTATAGACCATCCAGTCATCCAGGGCTGCCACTTGCAGATGGAAAATTGTACTATTTTCAATCATGCACTGAGGTTTGAATTACTTCACAGACTGAACCAAACAAACATGGGCTCCATTGAAGAGTGTCTGGCATTTGTTTCAACCACAAGAGAACTTTCCCCAGCTCTCCCTCATTCTCGGTTCTCTCCTGCAAGCCAGCAGCCCTGCAGTGTAGCCTGCATCTCCCATGCATCCACCCATCTCCTTCCAAGGGCTTTCCACCACACCATCCACTGTTTTTGAGAGCACTGGCAGGCTTTCAATTTGTCCACATTCTGTTGTTACTGAAGTTAGGATTTTTAGGACTAATTAAGGATCATATTTTATGACTGAATTCCATTGCTCCCTCTCTCCTGGGACAGAGCTCCTAAACAAGGTTCTGCAGGTGTAGACAAAGTTGAGCTGTTTTATTCCTCAGCCTAGGAGCTGAGCTCTCAGTGGAGGGTCGGGCAGGAGCTTCCCACCTTCTCAGCACTTCGGTTATTGTGGGGTGGAACCTCTGCCATAGGACAGAGCTAGAAACCAGAGACCCAGTGTTCCCAGTGGCACTGGACCCGGGGCAGAGCCTCCATCCATGAGTGGGGCTCCATGGAAGAAGTGAGTCTCTGGCTCTCGGTAGCTCTTGTTCAGCACTGAACCTCAGCATCATGTGCTGTGTGCAGGGTCAGAGGGCCAACGTACTGGGCCCTGGGGAAGAGTTTCCTCTGGTGGGAGTTGGTAGAAGGTGTCCTGTCTTCTTGGCTGCATCTGTCGGCAGTGGAGTTTACATCATGCTGAGCTGGGATGTGGAAGGAAGGAAGATCATCTTAGATCAAGCATGATGACTGGCCTTACCGAGTTTTCTAGATTTTCTTGAATAAATATTTCTTCACTTGCTTTATGCTGTTAGAGCCTTTCCAAACCCTGTAATTTTTCAAAATAATTTTCACTGGTCTCATGAGGGCCTGGATTCACTGAAACCCTCATGCTGTCGAAGAGAAATAGAATTTTTTTTCACTTTTTAGAGAACACCCATGCGTTATAAAATAATGGGTTGACTTTTCATCCAACACTTTACAGATACCATCAACTTTCCTCTTGCTTGTAAGGTTTTAACCAGAAGAATGCTGTCATCATCTTTTCTGTTCTTTTGGAAGGAATGCCCCCTCTGCTCACCTCCACTTGCCTGCATATATTTCTATTTGTCTTTCCTTTTCAGCAGTTTTAATAAGATTTACCTAAATGTGTGTGGGGGGATCAGTGGGTGTAATTCTGCTGTTCTGTGTTCTCTGAGATGCATGGATTCACGGTTTACTCTGTCTCCATTTTGGGGAACACAATTAGAAAAAATGTCAGTATGAGCCCAGAAACAAGCCTCCCTGAAGAGGGAACAGGACCACCTGGGGACGCTCAGGACCCACTGAGCACAAGAGCCAGCCTCAGGGCAGGTGCAGAGGGAGGTTAAGGTCTGGTTTCCTGTCAGCCCTGTGGCTTCCTCTCCATGAAACAGTTTCCTCCATGAAACAGTTTCAGAATATGTGCCATGGGGTGATGAGAAGAATGTATATTCTGTTGCTTTTTGGTGGAGAGTTCTGTAAACATCTATCAGGTCCATTTGATCCAGTGCTGAGTTAAGGTCCTGAATATCTTTGCTAATTTTCTGCCTAAGTGATGTGTCTAATACTGTCAGTAGGGTGTTGAAGTCTCTCATTATTATTGTGTGTGAGTCTAAGTCTCTTTGTAGGTTTCTAAGAATTTGTTTGAACAGGGTGCTCCTGTGTTAAGTGCGCGTATATTTAGGATAGTTAGCACTACTTGTTGAATTGAACCCTTTGCCATTATGTCATTACCCTTTTTTGTCTTTTTTTATCTTTGTTGGTTTAAAGTCTGTTTTGTCTGAAATTAGGATTACAATCTCTGTATTTTTTATGTTTTCTATTTACTTAGTAGATTTTCCTCCATCCCTTTATTTTGAGGCTATGGGTGTCATTGCATATGAGCCTATGGGTGTCATTGCATGTGAGCCTATGTGTGTCATTGCATGTGAGCCTATGCGTGTCATTGCATGTGAGCCTATGCGTGTCACTGCATGTCTCTTGAGACAGCATACCATTGGGTCTTGCTTTTTTATCCAGCTTATCACTCTGTGCCTTTTAATTGGGGCATTTACCCCTTTTACATTCAAAGTTAGTATTGATATGTGTAGATTTGATCCTGTCATCATGCTGTTAGTTGGTTACCATACATACTTGTTTGTGTGGCTGCTTTCTAGTGTCATTGGTCTATGTACTTCAGTGTATTTTTGAAGTGGTTGGTAATGATATTTCCTTTTCTTATTTAGTGCTTCCTTCAGGAGCTCTTGTAAGGCAGGTCAGTCTGGTAGTAACAAATTCCCTCAGCATTTGCTTGTCTGAAAAGGATCTTATTTCTCCTTCACTTATGAAGCATAGTTTGGCTAGATGTAAAATTCTAGTTTGGAATTTCTTTTCTTTAAGAATCTTGAATATTGGCCCCCAACCTCTTCTGGTTTGTAGAGTTTTTGTTGAGAGGTCTGCTTAGTCTTATGGGCTTCCCTTTGTAGGTGACCTGACCTTTCTCTCTGGCTGCCTTTTGCATTTTTTTCTTTCATTTCAACCTTGGAAAATCTGATAATTATGTGTCCTGGAGGTGATCTTCCTGTGAAGTACCTTAAATGGGTTTTTGTATTTTCTGAATTTGAATGTTAGCCTCTCTAGCTAGGTTGAGGAAGTTCTCATGAATGATATCCTGGAATATGTTTTCCAAGTTGCTGCCATTCTCCCCATCTCCTTCAGGGACACCAGTGAATCATAGATTTGTTCTCTTTACATAAACATATTTATCAGAGGTTTTGTTTCTTCCTTTTCATTCTTTTTTCTCTATTCTTGTCTGCCTGTCTTGTTTCAGAATGCCAGTCTTAAAGCACTAATATCATTTCTTCTGCTTGGTCTATTCTGCTGTTAATAGTTGTGATTGCATCATGAAATTTTTGCAGTGTGTTTTTCAGTTCTATCAGGTCAGTTATGTTCTTTTCTATACTGTCTATTTTGTCTGTCAGCTCCTGCATTGTTTTATTGTGATTCTTAGCTTCCTTGGATTGGGTTTCAACATACTCCTGTACCTTGTTGCTCTTCATTTCTATCCATACTCCAAATTCTATTTGTGTCACTTCAGCCAACCCAGTTCAGTTAAAAACTTTTGGTGGAGAGCTGGTGGAGGCATTCGGAGGAAAGACAGCATGCTGGCTTTTTGACTTGTCAGAGTTCTTGCACTGTTTTTTTCTCATTTTTGTGGGCTAGTGTTTTTTCAATCTTTGAAGTTCTTGTCCTTTGGATTTTTTTTTTATCTTATTAGATGACTTTGAGAGTTTGATTGTGTTATAAAGTGGGTTCAGTCAACTGGCTTTATTTCTGGAAGATTTTGGGGACCAAGGTTCAGCTGTCATCTCCCCAGCTGCATGTTTTAATTCTGGGGGACTTATATCCTACCCTACTTTGTTCTCTGACTTCTCAAGATTATGAACAGACTGTGATGGGGGTGCTAAGGTGCTCCTGGACTGCTGGTCACTACACGTTGATGGAATGGTGCTAGTCAAAGGGTTTTGTAGTGTGGTGGCAGTAGGGGGGGGGGTCTGTCCTCATTCACAGGTGCCCTCAGCAGCACCAGAACCAGCAGTATTAAATCAGGATGCATGCTTGTCAGCTGCAGCAGACTGCTAGCAGGTGCTGAGATGCCTGCCTCCATGAAGGCATTGACAGCAGGGGTAGAGTCAGCATAACTTGGGGGGTCAGCAGGCCCCCATTGGTGACTGTGTGCATTGGTGCACTGATGGTGGTGTTAGTATGGGGGCAGGACACTGGTGGGTTCAGGTGTGTGTGCACCCTCTGTGGCTACTCAGGGCAGGGGAGGGTTCATTGTTTTCAGTGCCTAGTTTCATTCTGGTGGCAGTGTTGGCACAGGGGCAGGTCACTGACAGAGGCAGGACTGGTGGGCTCTGTGCCCACTACAGCTCTGACTGCAATGGTAGTATGGCCGAGGAAGGGGAGCAGAGTGCACTCCTGCTGGCAGCAGAGGCAGGGCAGCGTACACGTGCTCACACAAGCTGGTGGTGAAGGGAAGGGAAAATCCACCTGCACACATACAAGCCAGCCAAATGATGTCAGGGGGCAGGGGTGGTTGGCCATGGGCTTGGAAGAAGCTGCAGCAGAGGGAGGGAGCAGGCAGGTTGGTGCATGGCCCTAGGGGCCACCCCGCTGGAGCTCTCCACCAATTAGATATGGTCTGCCATTGCAGAAGCTAAGATGCGGGTCCCCAGGGAACCTGAGTCTGTACTGCAAGCAGAAAAAAACCAGGCTGGAGCACTGGGAGAGGTCAGCAGACCAGGGGGTACTAAGGTTGGATCTGCCCCATCTGATGGGAAGACTGCCCTGCAGAATTCATATCTGACAGTTCCCCTAGGGCTAAAGTCTCCTATGGAGGCAAGTCAAGTCTGGAGAGATGGGTATCCCTGGCCGTGCTCTGCTATAGATGTTCCTGCAACAAACCCTCTGGGCTCCATATCGGCTACCATGCTGCTCCTACCACTCCTCTAAGCACTTCCCCTGCCAACTCTGTGTCTGTAGTGGTTGAGGGGTCTCCTCCCGGTGGGATTCCAGAGGCTTGTGGCAAGAGTAGGTTGCTTCTTGCCAGTTCAACTCACCCATTCCCCCAAAGTTCTTGGGGGTGAGGAACGAGTCCCATTGCACGGTAGCCCCACCCAGCTTCTGCCCAGCTTTTGTGTCTTGAGGACCTGTTAGGACTGTGCCAGTCATCCCAGTCCCACAGTGACAGCTGTTCTATCTGTCTGCAACTAGTCAGACATCTTGACCAAATTGGAAGTTTCTTACAAAGCTGAGCATAGCCTTACCATATGATCACACTCCCAGGCACTTACCCAACTGATTTGAAACATGTGTACACAAAAACCCAGTCATGAATGTTTACAGCAACTTCATTCCCTAACAGCCAAAAATTGGAGACAATCACAATGTTCTTCAACGAGTGTATGAATAAACAAACTGTGCTATATTTACAATAGAATGTTATTCAGCAATAAAAAGGTCATTAACTACCAAGCCATAAAAAAGCATGAATGAATCTTAAATGCATAATGCTAGCTGAAAGAAGCCAGTTTTGAAAGGTTATATACTGTATGACTCCAATTGTATGACATTCTAGAAAAATTAAAACTATAGAGACAGTAAAAGACTGGTGGTTACCAAGAGTACAAGGAGAAGAAAGAAGAGTGGAATAATTTAAGTTGAAGAACAATTTAGGGTGAAGAAATTATTCTTTCTAATGCTGTAGAAATGAATACATGATATTATAAATATGTCAAAAATTATAGAAAAAACTTAATTTGTGTAAGTTTTAACAACTATACTACAACAAATTGAATAACCTTGAAGAAATAGATAAATTTCTGGACACAATTTGTCAAAATTAAATTAAGAGGAAATAAAAAATCTTAACCGATCAATAAGGAATAAAATTGAATCAATAGTTTCAAAAATCTCACAGCAAAGAAAAGCCCAGGACCTAATGGATTCTGTTTTAAATTTTACCAAACATTTGAAAAAGAACTAATACCAATTTATTGAAATTGAATAGGCATACTCATTTTAGAAGGCCTGCATTACTCTGATACCTAAGCCACAGGTGGATACTAAAAGAAAAGTTCAATCCAGTGTCTCTGATGAACATAAATGCCAGAATACTAACACATTAAATCTGGCAGCACATTAAAAGGATAATTCATGGTTAGCAAGCACAGTGATATTTGAACATATGCAAATCAATAAATGTGATATACCACATTGGCAGAATGAAAGGCAAAAACCATATGGTTACCTCAATAGATGCAGAAAAGGCATTGACAAAATTCAACATCCTTCATCATAAAAACTATGCTTAGAAGGAACCTACCACAGTGATAAATGCCACATATTACAATCGCACAGCTAACATCATATTCAATGGTGAAAAATTGAAAGCTTTCCTTCTAAGATCAGAAAGAAAATAAGGATGCCCACTCTCACCGAGTCTACTCAATATATTACTGAAAGTACTAGCTAGAGTAAGTAGGTAAGAAATAAAAGGCAACCAAATTGCAAAAGAAGAAGTAAAATTGTCTGTTTGCAGATGACGTGATCTTATATCGAGAAAATCCTAAAGATGTCCTCAAAAAAACCTTCTAGAATAAGTGAGTTCATAAAGCTGCAGATTAAAAAATGAACATACAAAAACTAGTGGTATCTCTGAACAGTAACAATGAATTATCTGAAAAGGAAGTCAAGAAAACAATCCCATTTATAACTATAAAAAATTAAAACAAAATACTTAGGAATAAATTCAACCAGGAGGTTTAATCTCTGTACACTGAAAACTATAATACATTGATGAAATAAATGGAAAAAGAGAATTAAAAGTAAATATACCTATGTACATTAATTTTAAAAAATTAATATTGTTAAAATATCTAAAATAATTAAATTACCTACAGATTCTATCAAGTCCCTATTAAAATTCCGATGGCATTCATCATAGAAATGGAAAAAACAAAACCAAATTTGTATGTACTTGTACAAGACTCTAAATAGCCAAAGTAATTTTGAGAAAAAGGAACAAAGCTGGAAGCATCACACTCACTGCTTCAAACTCTACTACAAAGCCATATTAATTAAAACAGTATGGTACTATAAAAACATGACACATAACAATGGAACACAGTAGGGAGCCCAAAAATAAATTCACACATATATGGCCAACTAAGATTTGACAAGGGTGCCAATAATACACAATGGGAAAAGAAAAGTCTATTTAATAAATGCTGTTGTAAAAGCTAAATATCCACATGCAAAAGAAAGAAACTGAAGTCTTGTCTTATGACATATACTAAAACTAACTGGAAATGAATTAAAGATTTAAATGTAAAACCTGAAACTGTAAAACTACCAGAAGAAAACATAAGGAAAAAACACCTTGACAACAGTCTTGGCAATCATTTTTTGGATATGACCACAAAAGCACAGGCAACAAAAAATAAACAAGTGGGACTATATCAACTAAAAATTCCACTGCGCCACAAAAGAAACAATTGACCAAATTAAAAGGTAACCTATCGAATGGGAGAAAATATTAGTAAACCATATGTATGATAAGGGGTTAATACTCATAATATATTAGGAAGTACGCAAGTCAACAGTAAAACAACAAACAACCTGATTTTTACAATTGGCAAAGATTTTAACAGACATATTCCCAAAACAGACATAGAAATAGCCAACATGTATATGAAAAGGTGCTCAACATCATCAACCATTGGGAAAATGAAATTAAAACCGCAATGAAACATCACCTCATACCTACTGTAATGGCCATTATGAGAAGACACATGATAACAAGTGTTGGTAAGGATGTGGAGAAAAGGGAACCCTTTCACAGTATTGATGGGAATGTAAATTGGCACAGGCATTATGGAAAACAATATAGATGTTCTTCAAAAAATAAAAAATAAAACTTCCATATGTTCCAGCAATCTCACTTCTAGATATATACCCAAAGGAAATGAAATAAGTATCTCTAAAAGATAACTATACTGCTATGTTCACTGCAGCATCATTCACTATAGCCAAAATATGGAAACAACCCAAGTGTACATCAATTGATGAATGAGTATAAAAATTGTGGTACATATATGTGATAGATTATCATCCAGCCAAAGAAAGAAGGAAGTTTTGCCCTTTGCAGCAACATAGATAAACCTAATAGACATTACGGTAGGTGAAATAAGCCAGACACAGAAAGACAGACACTATATGATCTCACTTACATGTAGAATCTGAAAAAAAAAAAAAAAAGCTCATTGAAGGAGAGAGTAGAACAGTGGTTGTCAGAGGGTTTTGAAGTCAGAGAAAAGGGGAATATGTTGGTCAAATGGTACAAACTTTCAGCCCTAAGATAAACACATTCTTGGTAACTAATGTACAACATGGATGGTGATTAATGTGTTAATTTGATTGTGGTAATCATTATACAATGTATATGTATATCAAATTATCATTTCATATACCTTGAATATATTTGATCTTTATGTGTCAATTAAATATTTATAAATTTAAAAATCTACAAAAGAAACAAATCATTTCAATTCTATACAATAAAAAAGAACTATCTAAAAGGGAAATTAAGAAATTAATCTCATTTCCATTAGAACCAAAAAATAAAATATTTAGGAGTAAACTTAAACAAAGAGGTGAAAGACTTGTACACTTAAACTGTAAAACATTGATGAAAGAAATTAAAGCAGATGGAAATAAACGGAAAGACTTTCTGTGTTAATGGAATAGAACAATTAATATTGTTAAAATATCCACACTACCTGAAGCAATCTATAGATTCAATACAATCTCTGTGAAAATCCCAACATCATTTTTTAAAGAAATTTTTAAAAATCCTAAAATTCATGTGGAGACACAAAGACTCATGAAGTGACATGGACAGGGGAAAAGGTGGCAAGAAGGTTTTATTTAGGAGGGAATAAATGCGGTTACACGCTAAAGGTTACACCCAATAGGGAGGACAAAGTTCATGTTATAGGTGAGAGAAAGGAGAGTTACCAGAGTAATTGCCTTTAGTAGAGAGGACGGGATGGAATCTGGTGCACAGGTGGAAGGGTTTACTTCTGTAGGAGCAGGATCAGGTCACCCAGTTTCAGGAGAAGTTAAAGGAAACTTAATCACAGATGCAGGTTGTATAGTGGTAGTGATGGGAGATTAAGGAATTCTCACCTGTTACCTTTCTCAGTAAAACAGGAAGCAACACAATAAACAGAGTGATAATAGAGAAGGATTATTTGAAGATTCAGACCACTTTTTCTATAGTCTGAATATTTTTACCATGTACAAAATTTATATTCCTAAGTATAAACTTTGGTTTTTATCAAAAATAAAATATTTTAAAACTCAATTTTTGACCCCCTTGCATTTGGGGTTCCAGATGTTTTGGATGCTGCCCATTTAATGCACTCATTTGAGATTTGAATATGTAGTAAGCTAGTTAAAGGGAGGCAGTAGGATAGGCTTCTGTTATACTAGGGGCGATTTGTTAGGTCCAAAGTGATTCCGGATCATCAACTTGATCCCAGGCACATGGCTAAAATTGTAGTGTTTTTCAGACAACAGATGGCTAAGATTGTAGCAAGAACAACTTCCCTGACAACATAGGTCACCTGTGTTAGTCTGTAAGTCATCTCTGGGTGTCCAGCCTATAGTCTGCTCTTCTAGACTTTGCAGTGATTTTGTGAACACCTCTCTTGATATTAAATGATGTTTTGTTTAAAATAGCTGGAATGGTTTCTTCTCTCTGACACAAAATCCTGATTGGTCTATGAAAAGACTGTCATTATTAAACTTACAGTGAAATCAATTGGCAATAAGGTCAAACATACAGCTAAAAGTCATAAAAATTTGCTAGGATTAATAATGAAGCTCCAGAAAAAAAAAGTAAAATTTTTTTTGATCTTTTTCAGTAAAAGTAACCAGCTTTCTTTTGCCACTCTCTGCTTATGTATGTAAGAAAAATTGGTAGTTTAATATCTTTCAAAGTGCACTTACAAATATAATATTTTCCTCTTAATGATATTTTTCAACTCTTTGATATCTGCATAGAATCTTGAGTTTACAGCCCTAAGTCATTTATGACCCTTCAGTAGAGGAATCACTCTTTTGCTTAAAGCCACAGAATGGCTTCTTATTGTAATTGTAATAAAATGAAAACTCACATTTACTATGTAGACCATATGTTTTTGACACTACCAGTATCTCTAACTTTAAGTTTAATCATTTTCACATTAAATTACTATATTCTTGGTAACATGGACTTTATTGTATTCTTCAAATATACCAAGTTCATCATCATCTTTGAGTTTTTGCACTGCCTGTGCCCTCTGTCTACCATACTATAGCCACAAATGTTTGCATGTTTGGCTTCTTCAGTTTATCCAGATATGATCCAAAATGTCAGCTCTTCAAGGCCTTTTTTTATTATTAAACACAAATTGGTTACTCCCAATCCAGAGTCACAGTTTATCATTTCACTTTTCGTTTTAGTTTTTACAGAGCAGTATCTCTTCCTGAAACTATGCTGTTTATTTTCTACCTTAACGGCGGTCTATTTTTACTAGGTTGTATCTCTTGGAGAGCAGATAGACCTTATCTGCCTCAATACTTTCTTTCTTCAGTTCCTAGAATAGTCCTGACAAATGGGAGGTATTCAATGATTGCAGTACTTGGAAATAAACAAATCAATTTCAGATAAAATTCTACAGTCTATTTTTATTCTTTTTTTTTTTTTTGCCCTTTTTCAGGCTATGTGTTTATTAAACACCTTTTTCATGGAAGCTTTCACTTCCTGGTTATGAAGGGTATAAATGACAGGATTCAACAAAGGAAGAATCACTGTGTGGAAGAGAGAAACCACCTTGTCGGCTGGGAAAGCCCTGAAGGGGCACGTGTAGATGAAGATGCCAGGTCCAAACATGAAGAATATAACAATGATATGGGTGGTGCATGTGGACATGGCCTTGTTTTTTGCCTCAGAAGAAGACGCTCGTATGCGACAAAGAATGACTGCATAGGAGGCCAGAAGTCCCAGAAAGCACATGAGTGTCATCAGGCCACTATTGAAGACCATCAGAAGCTCCACCACAAACATGTCGGTGCAAGCCAGCTTGATGACCTGTCGGACATCACAGAAGAAGTTGTCCAGCTGGTTTGGGCCACAAAAAGGCAAGCGGATGATGAGGACCACCTGGATAATGGAGTGGACAAAACCCCCAAGCCACAGAGCCAACATCATTGCATAGCAGGCTCTAGAGTTCATGACAGTTGAATACTGCAGAGGCAGGCAGATGGTGATGTAGCAGTCAAAGGCCATCACAACAAGGAGTAATCCCTCCCCTCCTCCAAGGAAGTGCAAGAAAAAGAGCTGAGTGATGCAGCCTCTGTAGGAGATTACCTTCTTCTCAGAGAGGAAGTCCACCAACATCCTGGGAGCCACAATGAAGGAGTAGGATGCATCCAGGAAGGCCAAGTTGCCCAGAAATAAATAGAGGGGGGCTGTGAGCCCAGGGTCTGACCTTATGGTGAAAATAATGAGAAAATTTCCAGGGAGGATGAAGAAGTAGAATATTAAAACTAGCACAAAGACCAGGAGCTAAATATCTCGAAACTGGGTCAAACGAAGGAGGATGAATTCTCTTATCACTGTTCTGTTCTCGCTTTCCATTTCCCTGGCCTGCAGTACATTAAGAAGCAGAATTAATTGTTATTGCTATGTCTTCCAACTAGATACTAGTTCTACAGCTAAAAAATATTTGGCACATATAGTACTTCAGCTAAAAACAACACTTCCCATCCCTCTCCTATTCTGGGGAAACTCTGTTACCTTAATTTCTCCAAATTTAAAATGAAAAATGAAAACAAAATATGGTTCTCAAAGCTACAGTTTTATTCCCATTCAACCATGTGCTTCTACAGAATCATTTTCCATGTTAGGAGTCTGGTATCCTCCACGTTGGGATTCCTACATTCCTAAATCATGTAAGTTTCCTAATGGAGACACAACCTAACTTCAAATCTGAAGGTCTTTGAGTTTTTTGGATATACTATGCTTGAGGGTTAGTTCTTTTCTTGGGATTAGACCCTTTTTCTCCTTGTCCACACCACCCCCAAATTTTCCTAGACAGTTTCTTCCCTCAATTCCTGTGTAATTCCCAGTTCCTAGCTGGTAACTCTCTTCCTTGCCCTCTGTCTTATCATCTAATTTACTTCTTACTATACTCCTTTTGGTCTGATATCCTTGAATACTCTTTTCCCAGACTGTTCACGAGAATCCCAAGCTATAGCTCCACTTTTGACCTAACACAGGCACAGTGCTCCAGCTGTAACTCTGTTTGAACACCACTCCTGTGGCCACTCCACACCTGCATGCAGCTTATTTAGCACTTTTTGAGTTTCAAATACTAATAAACTCACAACACATTTCTTTCTCTGTTCCAAGTATGACACCCAAGATACAGCCCTTTAACAAAAAATATGCTACAATATAAAATTTGCAAGTATAAAACTTTAAAATATCATTATCTCAACTCATAAGATCATAGCATAGATACACTGTAAGTAGCCATAAAGATACTGTAGTGTTATTCTTCCATTTCAAAGATGAGAAATAACCTGTAGTTATATTACTTAAGTTTAGAGTGAGTTTTATTTTTTGCTCTGCTTGATAAGTAGTAGGATAATGCAAGTGTATACTATTCAGTTTAAATAGATAAAGAATTTTTTAATCACAGCTTCAATGAATGAATGTTCTTTTTGTGCATCTGAATAACTAAAGATAATATTGCTAGTCTAAAATCACTCCCGTATTGCTTTGATTTGTAAGTTCAACCTTGTTTAAATAAAAAGAAAAACAATGTCCATTGTGAAGAAAATTCATATTTAAAATTCAGATTGTTTTCATGGGGTATACTCATTCCAGAAGGTGCACATGATAATCCACTGAAGTATAGAAAGAACATAGTAATTTATCTATATTTAGTCAGTGTATAACATTTTATATGTATCACTACATTTCATTCTTTTCTAAATTCACTTTTTAATATTTATAATGGATAACATAGTACAATGGTTTATATATACTTTATAAATAAATATGCATACATTTAAGGTTATATATTCAAAAAATGTCTTAGGGGAGTAAATTTTTTAAGTTTGAAAATTGTTGGCCTACAACAAAATACAAACTGTAATATAAAAGGATATTCTTAATATGATTTAACTAAACAGTGTATTTGTTTTAAATAAGTGCTCTAGCGGCCGGGCGTGGTGGCTTATGCCTGTAATCCCAGCACTTTGGGAGGCCAAGGCGGGTGGATCACGAGGTCAGGAGATCGAGACCATCTTGGCTAACATGGTGAAACCCCGTCTCTACTAAAAAAATACAAACAAATTAGCCGTAGTGGTGGTGGTTGCCTGTAGTCCCAGCTACTCAGGAGGCTGAGGCAGGAGAATGGTGTGAACCCGGGAGGCAGAGCTTTCAGTGAGCCGAGATCATGCCACTGCACTCCAGCCTGGGTGACAGAGCGAGACTCTGTCTCAAAATAAATAAATAAATAAATAAATAAATAAATAAATAAGTGCTCTAGCACATGGGGTACGGAAGGAAGGGAAAATCTTTGACAGAAAATGCTACTGCAACAGTACCTAGAAAAGAAAGACAAGAAGATAGAGGATGAGGGAAGAAAGAAGAGAGAAATAGAAAATCAGGCAAACAAACACCAAACAAGCAAACAAACAAGCAAACAAACACCAAAAGACAGACAGCACATCTATATAGTGTCATCTTAGGGTACATATTTTAAGAAGCATTAAAACTATCTGCTTTATGTATCCCTAGAGTGGAATAGAGTGGTTAATACAGAAATTTCTGGGTGTTACTGGCAGCCACATGTGGAATTTATGAAAGTCATATTTTAACACATCATCATATATACATATGCAAATACCACATGAACACACACGTATGCACACACATACAAACACATGCAAAATTGTAATAGGAAAAAATATTTTGTAGATCCTTCAAATGAGCTTTTCTGCTCATGTCTTAACCTTTTCCCCCTTTGCCAGCCATTTGTCTCAACATTTATTCTACTATCTGCCTATATAAATATTTCCTTAAATCAAGAGCCCCTTCTACAGTTGACAATTGAACAATGCAGGAGTTAAGGGGGCAGATCCCCTGTGCAATAAAAAATTAGCACATACCCTGACTCCCTAAAAACTTAGCTTCTAACGATTACTGTTGATCAGAAGCTTTGCTGGTAACATAAACAGTTGAATAACAAATATTTTTGTTTTATGTATTATATACTATATTCCTACAATAAATTAAGCTACAGAAAATAAAATATAACAAAATCATAAGGAAAGGAAGATATAAATACTGTTCATTAAGTGGAAGCAAATCATCATAAAGTTCTTATCGTTGTCGTCTTCCCACTGAGTAGGCTGAGGAGAAGGAAAAGGAAGGGTTCGTTTTGCTGTCTCAGGGGTGGCAGAGGTGGAAGAAAATCCACATATAAGTGGACACGTGTGGTTCAAACCCATGTTTTTCTGGAGTCAACTGTACTTACTTATATGTTTTATGCATCCCACATGCTAACATAGAGTGAGGTATTTCTTGATGTGTTAGCATTTAACAATATCCCTGAGACATTTGAGGATTTCTGAAGGACTTTGAAATTGAAGGTTATAAGCTCTTCCATTCTGCCTGTGTCCCAGCCTCACTGTTATTTTTCCACTGTTTCTTAACAGATGGGATTCTGTACTACTTGACATCTTGATCAACTTTCTTCCCTGTCCCACTTCCATCTTTGAATTATCTCTACCTTCTCTAAATTGTGGTTGGAATAGACGCGGAGACTAATCAGATGAGCATTCCTCTAAGCAAAATAAAATAAGTTTCTACCAAAAAAAAAAAATCCATAAATGATGACGTCATCAGAGTAAAGTGTTCTATTTTAGCCAAATTAGTAGAGAAAGTTCTGTCAAAACTCTGTACCATACCTTCCTCACTGTATCTCTAATCGTTCTTGCCACTTCAGCTAATTCGTGGATTGATCAGTTTCTGGCCATGATGACACACTGCAGAAATAGGGAAGATGAAGGAGAAGGGTTCACCACATTTGCAAGGTGGAGACACAGAAACATCTCCAGGCAACTCTGTGTGTGCATGCCTGGAGTCTGAGTGTGGTCAGATGGGCTGCTGGAGCCAAGTGTTTAGAGATCTTATGTGCTTACTCCGCCTCCTTCCTTATTTTTCTTTTTCTCTCTTTCTTTATTCATCAATAAGCAGTTCATTTTCTTTTTTTTTCTGGTTGTGATTTCTTTTCCCTGTTAATTTGTTGCCTGTTCTTTTCCCCTTCTCTGTTTCTTTCTGGCTCTATTTATTTTGTTCTCTTTAAATATTGTTCTTTATTTTTTTTTCTTTCTTCTCCCTTACATTTATCTATGTTTTTTCACTCTGATATGTTTTCACTCTCTCCACTTTTTGTCTATGTTCATGGCTACTCCATTCTACCCACACCTGTCTTGCTAATGCATCTAAAAACAAAACGAAACAAGAAACAGAAAATCTCGTTGTCATTTGCTTTTCCAACAAGACTGAGAAATGTGTGTGCTTCCCACCATCTTCCATTTTAAATGTTAAGTCTACAAAATGAAAATATATAATTCACTCTTCAGTAATAACCATTTACTTTTAAGTGGTATTCTTGCAATTGGCCAACGCTGAGTCATTTATCAACTACTTCATATATATGTAGTGAACCTGATAAAAATGAGATGATTCACCTTTTTTTTAAAAAAAAGTTAATTTCATTAGTAGCATCCTAATGAAATAAATATATTGAATGTAAATTTCAAAAATAGAGATGTAATATTAGTAGTAATAATTTACTAACTACACAAGGTTAGTAAATTATTTGAGTATGAAATAAGTTTTATATTTTCTAAAAAGTGTGAATCAGGCTGAGAACATAATAGAAAATTTAATTTATACTGATGCTGATGCTGAGTATATAAAGCACTAAACAAATGTGTAGATTCTTAGCCAGAAAATTTATTCATCAATCAAATGAGATGGCCAGATTAAATGCCCTCTAAATTCCATTTGAATGCCAGTTTTTTAGGCAATGTAATAACATAAAAGGATCCCTGGTTTGGGAATCATTTATCTGACTCTCATGCCTTGACTGAGCAATTAACTTACTGTGTGATTCTGGCAAAGTCACTTAGCTTTCAGAAGCCTGAGTTTTCATCTACCAAATAGTTTAATGTATTGACTCTTTGGGTCTGATGGGGGTAACATGAGGATCAAATGAGGTGATGATGGTATTAATATGTAATTCATTCAAGTATGCTTCAACCAAAGTTAATCCTGAAAATATTTAGATGTTAAAAGTAGTTATATTGAATGGACAGAATGCTGCTAGATCTTTTGTCAATGTCTTTGAGTAACCCCTGGGATAATGGTAGTTGCATAAATCTGAATGGTTAATAGAAAGAAGCTGTGGAGGGTCAGTAATGCCTTCATGTAAAATTGCCAATACAGCTAGTAGTTTGTATATCAAGCTTTTTTTCAGTTCTACAGCTTTCTGTCAAAATTCTATGAATGAATGATAGAACCATATGTAACAGAAGAAACTTTCATACCTGCTGAATGTGAAAATGAAGAGGTCAAGGACTTACCTTCCGCAAAATCATAAAATCTGTTAAGTTTTTCTCTGGAGCTTTTAGCCAACCATTTCTGCATCCTCCTCCCCTTTCTTCCATATTTAATAAGGAAAATGATACATATCAGTCATTTGTATGATTTTTTGTTTTTTAACACCAGATGTCAATTCTCTTGAGTCTATGGAAAATTATAATAGAATTAAAGGTTTAGTTCACCAGTAAAGTAATCCCAAGCATTAAATGCAGATGGAGATCTATTAGGAGAGAGAATACACAGTGCCCCACTGCTGAATTTAGACCTTAGCCTGTGGCTATTCCTGCTAATACTCTGACCTGTCTATTCAACTGCAATCTAAGATATCAGGTGAACAAGTAAAATAGTTGCAATATTTTTTCTATTGTCTCTTTCTTCTTGTTTCTTGTATATATATGAAGAGCTCCAGAAATTTAAGCCTTCAGGGATCTTATGTTACTCTCACAAAGTAGCCATCCTCCCTCTCCTAGTAAGACTAACCAATTTTGCCATTGTTCATAAATGTTCATTGCCACATGAGGAACCTTAGATTTTAAAATCTCTCTATTGTAATGGAGAAAGTGCTTTTGAGATTTGAGACTACCGTGACCCACTGAATGCTTCCAAAGGGAGTTATTAGGCAAACTATATTAGTTATCAACTAAATAAGGCAAAGAAAAATACCAGAGCTTTGCAAGAACTAATTTTTTTTAAATGTGCTACATAATGCCAAGCTGACTTCCTTTCTAGTTCTAAAACAAAAATTCTACTGTGAAAAAGACAGAACCCTATTCAGAAGCATACTTTTTAGTCCAGAAGTAAATAGAAGTTTGAGAGAAGTAAATTTACATGTTATAATAAAATTCAAAAGGAGAAAAATATTAAATAAATGATGAGAGATTATTGCTTTGTACCACAAAAGCAAGCAGGGGTAGGATGAGGCAAAAATTACATATATACATATATATATATATATATATATATATATATATATATATATATATATGACTAGACTCAAATTTTTCAATTAAAGGCTTCACCAAACTTTAGAGGGTGGCTGGCAAGATGGCCAGATAAGAGCAACTCCAGTCTGCAGCTCCCAGCAAGACCAACGCAGAAGGTGGGTGATTTCTGCATTTCCAACTGAGGTACCCGGCTCATCTCATTGGGACTGGTTAGACAGTGGGTTCAGCCTACGGAGGATGAGCCAAAGCAGGGTGGGGCATCACCTCACCCGGGAAGTGGAAGGGTTCAGGGAACTCCCTCCCCGGCCAAGGGAAGCCATGAGAGACTGTGCCAAGAGGAATGGTGGATTCTGATCCACATACTAGGCTTTTCCCATGGTTTTTGCAACCTGCAGACCAGGAGATTCCCTTGGGTGCCTACACCACCAGGGCCCTGGGTTTCAAGCACAAAACTAGGCAGCCATTTGGGCAGACACTGAGGTAGAAGCAGGAGTTTTTTTCATACCCCAGTGGCACCCGGAATGCCAGCAAGATAGAACGATTCACTCCCCTGGAAATGGGGCTGAAGCCAGGGAGTCAAGTGGTCTATCTCAGTGGATCCCACCCCCATGGAGCCCAGCAAGCTAAGATCCACTGGCTTGAAATTCTTGCTGCCAGCACAGCACTCTGAAGTTGACCTGGGACACTCGAGCTTGGTTGGGGTAGGGGCATCCGCCATTACTGAGGCTTGAGTAGGCACTTTTCTCTTCACAGTGTAAATAAAACCACCAGGAAGTTTGAACTGGGCAGAGCCCACTGCAACCCAGCAAAGCAGCTATAGCCAGACTGCTTCTCTAGATTTCTCCTCTCTGGGCAGGGTATCTCTGAAAGAAAGGCAGCGTCCCCAGTCAGGGGCTTATAGATAAAAATCCCATCTCCCTGGGACAGAGCACCTGGGGGGAAGGGCGGCTGTGGGCACAGCTTCAGCAGACTTAAATGTTCCTGCCTGCCATCTCTGAAGGGAGCAGCAGATCTCCCAGCAAAGCGCTTGAACTCTGCTAAGGGACAGACTGCCTCCTCAAGTGGCTCCCTGATGCCTGTGCCTCCTGACTGGGAGACACCTCCTAGCAGGGGTTGACAGACACCTCATACGGGAGATCTCCAGCTGGCATCTGGCTGGTGCCCCTCTGGGACAAAGCTTCCAGAAGAAGGAACAGGCAGTAGTCTTTGCTGTTCTGCAGCATCTGCGATGACACCCAGGTAAACAGGGTCTGGAGTGGACCCGCAGCAAACTCCAGCAGACCTGCAGCAGAAGGGCCTGACTGTTAGAAGGAAAACTAACAAACAGAAAGAAATAGCATCAACATCAACAAAAAGGATGTCCACCCAAAAACACCAACTGAAGGTCACCAACATCAAAGAACAAAGTTAGATAGGTCCAAGAAGATGAGGAAAAACCAGAGCAAAAAGGCTGAAAATTCCAAAAACCAGAACACCTCTTCTCCTCCAAAGTATCACAACTCCTTGCCAGCAAGGGAGCAAAACTGGATGGAGAATGAGTTTGACAAGTTGACAGAAGTAGGCTTCCAAAGATGGGTAGTAACAAACTCCTCTGAGCTAAAGGAGCATGTTCTAACCCAAAACAAGGAAGCTAAGAACCTTGAAAAAGGTTAGAGGAATTGATAACTAAAATAACCACCTTAGAAAAGAACATAAATAACCTGATGGAGCTGAGAAACACAGCACGAGAACTTCATGAAGCATACACAAGTATCAATAGCCAAATCAATTGAGTGGATGAAAGGATACCAGGGATTGAAGATCAACTTAATGAAATAAAGCGTGAAGACAAGATTGGAGAAAAAAGATTGAAAAGGAATGAACAAATCCTCCAAGAAATATGGGACTATGTGAAAAGACCAAACCTACGTTTGATTGGTGTACCTGAAAGTGACGGGGAGAATGGAACCAAGTTGGAAAACACTCTTCAGGATATTATCCAGGAGAACTTTCCCAACCTAGCAAGACAGGCCAGCATTCAAATTCAGGAAATACAGAGAACACCACAAAGATACTCCTCGAGAAGAGCAACCCCAAGAAACATAATTGTCAGATTCACCAAGGTTGAAATGAAGGAAAAAATGTTAAGGTCAGCCAGGAAGAAAGGTCAAGTAGTTACCCACAAAGGGAAGTCCATCAGACTAACAGTGGATCTCTCTGCAGAAACCCTACAAGCCAGAAAGAAGTGGGGGCCAATATTCAACGTTCTTAAAGAAAAGAATTTTCAAACCAGAATTTAATATCCAGCCAAACAAAGTTTCATAGATGAAGGAGAAATAAAATCCTTTACAGATAAGAAAATACTAACAGATTTTTGTCACCACCAGGCCTGCCTTACAAGACCTCCAGAAGGAAGCACCAAATATGGAAAGAAAAACTGGTACCAGCCACTGCAAAAACATACCAAATTGTAAAGACTATTGAAGCTATGAAAAAACTGCATCAACTAACAGGCAAAATAACCAGATAACATCATAATGACAGGATCAAATTCACACATAACAATGTTAACCTTAAATGTAAATGGGTTAAGTCCCCAGTTAGAATACACAGACTGGTAAATTGGATAGAGACTCAAGACCCATTGGTGTGCTGTATTCAGGAGACCCATCTCACGTGCAAAGACACACATAGGCTCAAAATGAAGGGATGGAGGAAGATTTACCAAGCATATTGAAAGCCAAAAAAAAGCAGGGGTTGCAATCCTAGTCTCTGATAAAACAGACTTTAAACCAACAAAGATCAAAAAAGACAAAAAAGGGCATTACATAATGGTAAACGGATCAATGCAACAAGAAAAGCTAACTATCCCAAATATGTATGCACCTAATACAGGAGCACCCATATTCATAAAGCAAGTCCTTAGAGATATACAAAGAGACTTACATTCCCACACAATAATAGTGGGAGACTTTAACACCCCACTGTCAATATTAGACAGATCAAGAGACAGAAAATTAACAAGGACATTCAGGACTTGAACTCAGCTCTGGACCAAGCAGAACTAATAGACATCTACAAAACTCTCCACCCCAAATCAACAGAATATACATTCTTTTCAGCACCACATCACACTTATTATAAAATTGACCACATAATTGGAAGTAAAACACTCCTCAGCAAATGCAAAAGAACAGAAATCATAACAAATAGTCTCTCAGATCACAGTGCAATCAAATTAGAACTCAGGATTAAGAAACTCACTCAAAACTGCACAACTGCATGGAAACTGAACAACCTGCTCCTGAATGACTACTGGGTAAATAACGAAATTTAGGCAGAAATAAATAAGTTCTTTGAAACCAATGAGAACAAAGACACAATGTACGAGAATCTCTGGGACACAGCTAATGCAGTGTTTACAGGAAAATTTATAGCACTAAATGCCAACAGCTTAAAGCAGCAAAGATCTAAAATCAACACCCTAACATTACAATTAAAAGAACTAGAGAAGTAAGAGCAGACAAATTCAAAAGCTAGCAGAAGACAAGAAATAACTAAGATCAGAGCAGAACTGAAGGAGATAGAGACACAAAAAACCCTTCAAAAAATCAATGCATCCAGGAGCTGGTTTTTTGAAAACATTAACAAAATAAATAGACCACTAACCAGACTAATGAAGAAAAGAAAGAAGAATCAAATAGACACAATAGAAAATGATAAAGGGGTATCACCACTGATCCCATAGAAATACAAACTACCATCAGAGAATACTACAAACACCTCTACACAAATAAACTAGAAAATCTACAAGAAATGGATAAATTCCTGGGCACATACACCCTCCCAAGACTGAACCAGGAAGAAGTCAAATCCCTGAATAGACAAATAACAAGTTCTGAAATCGAGGCAGTAATTAATAGCCTACCAACCAAAAAAAAGTCCAGGACCAGACAGATTCACAGCCAAATTCTACCAGAGGTACAAAGAGGAGCTGGTACCATTCCTTCAGAAACTATTACAAACAATAGAAAAAGAGGGACTCCTCCCTAACTCATTTTATGAGGCCAGCATCATCCTGATACCAAAACCTGGCAGAGACACACATAAAAAAGAAAATTTCAGGCCAATATCCCTGATGAACATCAATGCAAAAATCCTCAATAAAATACTGGCAAACCGAATCCAGCAGCACATCAAAAAGCTTATCCACCATGATCAAGTTGGCTTCATCCCTGGAATGCAAGGCTGGTTCAACATACCCAATCAGTAAACATAATCCATCACATAAACAGAACCAATGACAAACATCACATGATTATCTCAATAGATGCAGAAAAGGCCTTCAGTAAAATTCACCCCTTCATGCTAAAAACTCTAAATAAACTAGGTATTGATGGAACGTATCTGAAAATAATAAGAGCTATTTATGACACACCCACAGCCAATATCATACCGAATGGGCAAAAGCTGGAAGCATTCTCTTTGAAAACCAGCACAAGACAAGGATGCCTTTTCTCACCATTCTTATTCAACACAGCATTGGAAGTTCTGGCCAGGGCAATCAGGGAAGAGAAAGAAATAAAGCGTATTCAAATAGGAAGAGAGGGAGGTAAATTGTCAAAGTTTGCAGATGACATGATTGTATATTTAGAAAACCCCATCATCTTAGCCCAAAATCTCCTTAAGCTCATAAGCAACTTCAGCAAAGTCTCAGGATACAAAATCAATGTGCAAAAATTACAAACATTCCTATATACCATTAATAGATAAACAGCCAAATCATGAGTGAACTCCCATTCACAACTGCTACAAAGAGAATGAAATACCTACGAATACAACTAACAAGGGATATGAAGGACCTCTTCAAGGAGAATTACAAACCACTGCTCAAGGAAAAAGAGAGGACACAAATGGAAAAACGTTCTGTGCTCATGGATAGGAAGAATCAATATCATGAAAATGGCCATACTGCCCAAAGTAATTTACAGATTCAATGCTATCCCCATCAAGCTACCATTGATTTTCTTCACAGAATTAGAAAAAACAACTTTAAATTTCATACAGAACCAAAAAAGAGCCTGTATAGCCAAGACAATCCTAAGCAAAAAGAAAGAGGCATCACACTACCTGACTTCGAACTATACTACAAGGCCGCAGTAACCAAAACAGCATGGTACTGGTACCAAAACAGATATATAGACCAATGGAACAGAAAAGAGGCCTTAGAAATAATGCCACACATCTACAACCATCTGGTCTTTAACAAGCCTGACAAAAGCAAGCAATGGGAAAAGGATTCCCTATTTAATAAATGGTGTTGTGAAAACTGGCTAGACATATGCAGAAAACTGAAACTGAACCCCTTCCTTACACCTTATACAAAATTAACTCAAGATGGATTAAAGGAGTAAATGGAAAACCTAAAACCATAAAAACCCTAGAAGAAAACCTAGGCAATACCATTCAGGACATAGGCATGGGCAAAGACTTCATGACTAAAACACCAAAACCAATGGCAACAAAAGCCAAAATTGACAAATGAGATCTAATTAAACTAAAGAGCTTCTGCACAGCAAAAAAACAAACAAACAAACAAACAAACAAAAAAAAACCTCTCATCAGAGTGGACAGTCAACCTACAGAATGAGAGGAAATTTTTGCAATCTATCCAGCTGACAAAGGGCTAATATCTAGCATCTACAGGGAACTTAAACAAATTTACAAGAAAAAAAACAACCCTATCAAAAAGTGAACAAAGGATATGAACAGACACTTCTCAAAAGAAGACATTTATGCAGCCAACAAACATATGAAAAAAAAGCTCATCATCACTGGTCATTAGAGAAATGCAAATCAAAACCACAATGAGATACCATCTCATGCCAGTTAGAATGGTGATCATTAAAAGGTCAGGAAACAGCAGATGCTGGAGAGGATGTGGAGAAATAGGAACCCTTTTACACTGTTGGTGGGAGGGTAAATTAGTTCAACCATTGTAGAAGACAGTGTAGCGATTCCTCAAGGATGTAGAACCAGAAATACCATTTGACCCAGCAATCCCATTACTGGGTATATACCCAAAGAATTATATATCATTCTACTATAAAGACACATGCACATGTATGTTTACTGTGGCACTGTTCACAATAGCAAAGACTTTGAACCAACCCAAATGCCCATCAATCATAGACTGGATAAAGAAAATGGGTCACATATACTTTATGGAATACTATGCAGCCATAAAAAAGGATGAGTTCATGTCATTTGCAGGGATATGGATGAAGCTAGAAACCATCATTCTCAGCAAACTAACACAGGAACAGAAAACCAAACACCACATGTTCTTACTCTTAAGTGGGAGTTGAACAGTGAGAACACAGGGACACAGGGAGGGGAATATCCCACACGGGGGCCTGTCACAGGGTGGGGGGCTAGGGGAAGGATAGCATTAGGAGAAATACCTAATGTAGGTGACAGGTTGATGGGTGCAGCAAACCACCATGGCACATATTTACCTATGTAACAAACCTGCATATTCTACGCATGTATCCCAGAACTTAAAGTATAATTTTTAAAAAAGACTTCACCAATATTATTTATTTTTCCTGTTGCCTCAGGTTCCAACATGGCTCAACATGGCAGTTGCTGATCCTGCCTTTGCTTAAAATTTGGTACTTTATCACAAATTTTAAAATTAATTTTGATTTCTCAAAATATTGATTTAAATGTTTATCTCTACTATTGAGTTTTTGGGCACGCCTTTAAATTTTGCATGCAAGATAAGCACCTTACTCAGTTGTAGGATGTTGACGGTGATAAGGACATTAGCAAAGGAAATATTGAAAAGCTCATGAATACTGCTGCATAATTCTTCTTAGAGAAAATAGTTTCTTAGTATAGGATAGAACAATTGCTAAAGGGAAGGTGATCTCCTACATAGCATGAAAAGATGTGTCATGCTCTTGGTATTTGTAATTTGTTCCCTTTCACTCTGCTCAACTAAAACAAGGATGAAAAACATTTTTCCATTAAAGATTATTAATTTTAAAAATTATTTGAGTCAGAAAAAATAAATGCAAATTAATTTTATTAATTTTATTTAAAAATTAGTTTAATCTTTTGCTTTAAAGAAAACACTGAGTTTATGGGTCACTTTACAAGTGAAATAAGAACACAGATTTGGGGGTAATAAACATAATTTATCACCAAATACATTTGTTTTAATTTATTTCACAGTTCAAAAACAAAGTGTAAGAGTAGAAAAAGGAAAGAAAGAAGAAAGGAGAGAGAGAGAAGTACAGAAAAAGTTACAATAATCAAAATAAAAATCAAGAGAAAAGGGAAAAGAAAGACTAGCAGAGACATAAATGGAAAGATAGTCGTATGACTTAAAAACAAATGGTGAAGAGACAGAGAGATACTAGTCCATGAGGAGAGCAAGACCATCCAGAGGCAAAACTCCTTATCCAAGGAATTCAGAAGTAATTAGACATCCCTATTATGTAAAGCTGGCATCTGGTATGAGATTTCTTTTCCAAAAATTTGTGAGTAACCAGAATTTCTATGCATCTCTGGAATGCATGTATTCTAAACTCATTGTGCAATCCCTGCTGACATCAAGGCACCAAAATGTCTATAAATGTAATTGTTTACCATGACCTATGTGGCTAATATGGTAAAAATTACCCTTAAGCTCCCACTTTAAGGTCCATAAATACCCTAAGGAAAAATCTACTGCAGTGGCGTCCTCAGTCCTCTCTTGCTGAGGAGCCCTGCTGCACTCCTCTGCAGCGTTCTTTCCATCTAATACAACTTTCCTTTTCAAATCTATACAGTTGTTGGTAAATTCTTCTTACTACCCACAAGCCAACCACACTCCACTGTCTGGGCTGTGACAGCTCGCATGGCAGTCCATATAAATGCACAGTCTACAAATCCATATAACCATAAAAAGAAAACAATGATAAAGAGAGCTGCACAGAGGAAAATAGAGAAAGGAAGCAAAATGAATGAGGTTAGATACGTTCTTAAGTGGAATAACAACCCCATCTTGGAGTAGGTTAGTCTTGCCACCAAAACTTTTAAAAACATGATTTTTTTTCATAATTGTGCATATAATCCAGGATCTTACTCACCTCTTAATGTTCACTCTAATAGATAAGATAAAATTAATCTGAAGATCTAAAATAGTCCTCAAAATGGAGACTTTTTAATCCTTCTAGGAAAGTTTTATCACCTTGGATAGATTTTCTCTTCTAGATAATCTTGAATTAATTTTACAATGAAAAGTATTACTGGTATTTTATTAAATTGTATTCTATTTATGCATTGACATGTATATATTCAATATTATTTTTAACCAACAAGAGTTTGTCTCTGAATTTATTCATTTTTTTCTCAAAAAAATGACCACTTTTTATATGAAAAGATACTTCCCAAAAGAAAACATGTATACGGCCAATAAGCATATGAAAAAAAAAATGCTCAGCTTGACTATTCATTAGAGAAATGCAAATCAAAACCACAATGAGATACCATCTCACACCAGTCAGAAGGACTATTATTAAAAAGTCAAAGAATGGCTGGGCACGGTGGCTCACGCCTATAATCCCAGCACTTTGGGAGGCCGAGGTGGGCAGATCACGAGGTCAGGAGATCGAGACCATTCTGGCTAACACGGTGAAACCCCGTCTGTAATAAAAAATACAAAAAAAAAAATTACCTGGGCGTGGTGGCGGGCGCCTGTAGTCCCAGCTACTCAGGAGGCTGAGGCAGGAGAATGGCGTGAACCTGGGAGGCGCAGCTTGCAGTGAGCCGAGATCGCGCCACTGCACTCCAGCCTGGGCGACAGAGCGAGACTCCGTCTCAAAAAAAAAAAAAAAAAAGAAAAGAAAAAAAAAGAAAAGTCAAAAAATAAAAATTCAAAGAGAATTTTTTTTTCTTTTTTTACTTTTATGGCATGACTTCTAGTATTTTTATATCCTTAACACTTTATACAAAAAAATCAAAGGAAGAAGAATAATAACATTTAAGTTTACTTTGTTTCGTTTTTCAGAGTTAATAGTTGTTTCACATTCTCACCAAGATTTAGTTTTTAAATGTTGATCTTGTATCCTGCAACCCTTGATAAATTTCCTTGTAAATTCTAGTTCTTTAAAGACACCATAGTATGCTCTACACATACATTTCTTCTATGAATAAATAGATTTTTATTTTTTTCTTCCTAATATTAATACCTTTAAAAAAAACTTTATTTCAGTGGTTAGCACATGTTGAATAGAAGTGGTGAGAGCATGGATACTTGCATTCTTCCTAATCTTAAGGGGGCATGCATTCAAGATTTTATCATATGTTATAATGGTTGCTATAGGTTTTTCATAATTGCCCTTTATTGGACTGGAGAGGTTCCCTTTCATTTCCAATGTACTTAGAATTTTTTACAGACATGAATGGATGTTAAAACAGATGATTTTCTGCCTCTATTGGCAAGATCATATCATTTTTCCACCTTCATTCAGTGAATATAGCAATTAACTTGATTGATTTTCAAATGTTAAGCCAACTATGCGTTTTTGGGATACATCCCATCTGGTCACAACTTTTTATGTATTGTCATGTTCGGATTGCTAATGCTTTGTTTTAAAATTTTATGTGTAGCCGGGCAGGGTGGCTCACGCTTGTAATCCCACCACTTTGGGAGGCCGAGGAGGGCGAATCATGAGGTCAGGAGATCGAGACCATCCTGGCTAAGACGGTGAAACCCCGTCTCTACTGAAAATACAAAAAATTAGCCGGGCTTGGTGGTGGGCGCCTGTAGTCTCAGCTATTTGGGAGACTGAGGCAGGAGAATGGCATGAACCCGGGAGGTGGAGCTTGCAGTGAGCCGAGATCGCACGACTGCACTCCAGCCTGGGTGACAGAGTCAGAGTCCGTCTCAAAAAAATAAAAATAAAATTGTATGTGTATGTTTTTGAGAAATCATCTTTTCTTGTAATGCAAAATCCTTGCAATGCAAAATCCTGTGTCAGATTTTGGTATCAGGGTTATACTGACCTCATAAAGAAAGTTGGGCAATGGTATCCTTTCTTCTATTTTATGAACGAGTTTAGATACAATTGGCATTACCCGTTTCTTACATATTTTAGAAAACTCCCTGGTTGAGCCATATGAACCTGGAATTTTCTTAGTAGAAAGTTTTCAGCTCTACATTCATTTCCTTTTAAAATATATTCCTATTTAGATTTTGTATATCTTGATGTGCCAGTTTTGGCAAATGTGTTTTGTCATATTGCTATTCTTCATATTCCCTTATTATCCCTTCAGTTTCTTTAGGACTAATAGTGCTTCTCTTGTTATTCTTAATGTTGGTAGTTTGTGTGTTTCTCTTTTAAAATTCATCATTCTACTAGGGGTTTATCAATTTTGGTAATCATTTCAAAATACCAATTTTTGGCTTTTAAATTTTTTTCTAATGTTTGTCTACTTTATGTTTCATTAATTTTGACTCTTTTCCTTTTATCTCTTTCTTGCAAAGGACATGATCTCATTCTTTTTATGACTACATAGTATTCCATTGTGTCTGTGTACCACATTTTCTTTATACAGTTTACCATTGATGGCAACTTTGCTATTGAGAATAGTACTGTGTTGAACATATGTGTGCATATGTCTTTATGGTAAAATGATTTATATTCCTTTGGATATGTGCCCAATAATGAGATTGCTAGGTTAAATGATAATTCTCTTTTAATTTCTTTGAGAAATTGCCACGCTGCTTTCCACAATGGCTGAACTAATTTACATTCCCACCAGCAGCGTATAAGTGTTCCCTCTTCTCTGAAACCTCACTAGCATGTTATTTTTTGACTTTTTAATAATAACCATTCTGACTGCTGTGAGTTGGTATCTCGTTGTGGTTTTGATGTGCTTAGCGATGTCGAGCATTTTTTCATATGCTTCTTGGCTGCATGTAGGTCTTTGAAAAGCCTTTGTTCATGTCCTTTGCCCAATTTTTAAAGAGATTGTTTTTTGCTCGATCATTTAAGTTCCTTGTAGATTCTGGATATTAGACCTTTGTTGGGTGCATAGTTTGCAAATATTTTATCCCATTTTGTGGGTTGTCTGTTGACTCTGTTGACAGTTCATTCTGCTCTGCAGAAGCTCTTTAGTTTACTTAGGTCTCATTTGTCAATTTCTGGTTTTTGTGGTCAATGTTTTTGGTGTCTTCACCATGAAATACTAGCCAGGGCCTATTTGAGAATGGAATTTCCTAAGTTATCTCCTGGGGTTTTTATAGTTTGCGGTTTTACATTTAATTCTCCAATCCATGTTGAACTGATTTTTGTAGGGTGCAGCACACCAACATGGCACATGTATACATGTGTAACAAAACCTGCACGTTGTGCACGTGTACCCTAAAACTTAAAGTATAATAGTAACAAAATAAAATAAAATAAAACAAATGGAAAAGAAAGAAGGGGTTACATTTCAGTCTTTTGCATGTGGCTTGCCCATTATCCCAGCACCATTTATTGAATAGAAAGTCCTTTCCCTACTGCTTGTTTGTATCCTCTTTGTGAAAGTTCAGATGGTTATAGGTGTGCAGCACTATTTCTGGCCTCTCATTATGTTCCATTGGTTTATGTGTCTGTTTTTGTACCAGTATCATGCTGTTTTGGTTACTGTAGCCTTGTAGTATAGTTTGAGGTTGGGTAATATGATGCCTCCAGCTTTGTTCTTTTTTGCTTAGGATTGCCTTATTTGCCCATTTTTAAGTGGATTTTTTTTGTTTTGTTTTTTTGCTTGTTGCTTTGTTTAAGTTCTTTATACTTTCTGGATATTAGACCTTTGTTTGGAAGCATAGCTTGTGAGTATTTTCTCCCATTCTGTAGGTTTTCTGCTTACTCTATTGATAGTTCCTTTTGCTGTGCAGAAGCTCTTTTGTTTAATGAGGTCCCACTTGTCAACTCTAGTTTTTGTTGCAATTACCTTTGAGGACTCAGCCAAAAATTCTCTGCCAAGGCTGTGGCTGAGAAGAGTATTTCCTAGGTTTTCTTCTAGGATTTCTATAGGCTGAGGTCTTAAATTTAAATCTGTAATCGATTTTGAGTTGATTTTTGTATATGGTGAAAAATAAGGGTCAAGTTTCACTTTTTTTTGTATCTGACTAGCCAGTTATCCCAGCACCATTTATTGAATAGAGAGACCTGAGAGTTAGCTTGGTTGAATGTTCTTAGGCTCCAGACTCAAGCCCACAACTTTCCTCAGTAGGGGCTTCTAAACAGAGAGTCTTTTCTCCATTGCTTATTTTTGTCTGCCTTGTTGAAGAGCTGATGGTTGTAAGTGCATGGATTTATTTCTGGGTTTTCTATTCTGTTCTATGGGTCTATGTGTCTGTTTCTGTACCAGTAGCATACTGTTTTGGTTACAATGGCCTTATAGTTTGAGTAGTGTGATGCCTCTAGTTTCATTCTTTTTACATTTTTTTCAATTTTTCTGGGTACAGAGTAGGTGCATATGTTCATGTGGTACATTTTGCATGGGATTGTTTTGACTATTCAGGCTTTTTTGGCTCTGTATGAATTTTCTATCTTTTTTTCTAATTCTGAGAAGAATGGTGTTGGTGGTGAGATAGGAATACCATTAAACTGTTGATTGCTTTGGGCAGTGTGGCCATTTTAACTATATTGATTCTTGTAATCTATTAGTATGGAATGTTTTTCCATTTATTTCTGTCATCTCTGATTTCTGTCAGCAGTGTTTTTGCCATTAATTTTGTAGAGGGTTTTCTGGTTAACTGTATTCCAAGGTATTTAATTTTCTTTGTGCCTATTGTAAATGGGATTGTGTCCTTGATTTCACTCTCAGCCTGGACATTATTGATGTATGGAAATGCTATTGATTTTTATACAATGATTTCATGTCCTGAAACCTTCCTAAAATTGTATGTCAGTTCTAGTTGCCTTTTTGTGAAAGCTAGTTTTCTAAGTATAGAATTATATCATCAGTGAATAGAAATAGTTTGACTTCTTATTTTCCTATTTGGATATCTTTTATTTCTTTCTTTTGCATAATTGCTGTGGCTAGGACTTCAAGTACTCTGTTGAAGAAGTGTGGTGAGAATGTACATCCTTGTCCTTTACCAGTTCTTAAGGGGAATACTTCCAGCTTTTGCCCATTCAGTATCATGTTGGCTGTGGGTCTGTCATAGATGGCTCTTATTGTTTTGAGGTATATTCCTTCAAAATCTAGTCTGTTAAGGGTTTTTATCATGAAGGGATGTTGGATATTATTGAATGCTTTTTCTGCATCTATTGAGATGATCATGTGGTTTTTGTCTCTTATTATGTTTATGTGATGAATCACATTTATTGATTTGCATACATTGAATCAGCCTTACCTCTCGGGAATAGTACCTACTTGATCACAGTGTGTTAACTTTTTGATGTGCTGATGGATTCAATTAGCTAATATTTTGTCGATGATATTTGCATCTGTATTCATAAGGGATATTGCCCTGATGATTTGTTTTTTGTTCTGTCCCTGCCAGGTTTTGGTATCAGGATGATACTGGCTTCATAGAATGAGTTAGGGAGGAGCTCCTACTCCTCAATTTTTTGGAATAGTTTCAATAAAATTGGTAGAGTTCTTTTTTTAACTCTGGTAGAATTCAGCTGTGAATCTATCTGGCCCAGGACTTACTTTGGTTGGTAGGTTTTTTTATTATTGATTCTGTTTCACAGCTTGATGTTGGTCTAATCAGGGTTTCAATCTCTTCCAGGGATTCAATCTTGGGAGATTGTGTGTTTCCATGAATTTATCCATTTCTTCTAGATTTTCTAATTTGTATGCATAAAGTTGCTTATAGTATTCTTTGAGTATCTTTTGTATTTCTGTGGGATCAGTTGCAACATCATTTTTGTTATTTCTGATTGTACTCATTTGGGTCTTCAGCTTTTTTTCTATGTTAATCTAGCTAGCAATCTACCAATTTTGTTTATTTTTATTTTGAAGGACCAATTATTGGTTTCGCTGACCTTTTGTACATATTTTTGCATCTCACTTTCATTAAGTTTTTCTCTATTTGTAGTTATATCTGTTCTTCTGCTAGCTTTGAGCTTTTTTTTTTCTAGTTCCTTTAGGTACAAAGTTGGATTATTAAATTCAGATTTTTCTAACTTCTTGATGAAGGTATTTAGTGCTATAATCTTTCCTCTTATTATCTTATTTACTTATTTATATAAAAAGTTTTATTTCCTGCTTTAGCTTCATTTCAGAGATTTTGGTTAGTTGTGTCCCTGTTTTAATTTCAAAGAATTTTTTTGATTTTTGCCTAATTTCAGTGTGGACCCATGAGTTACTCAGGAGCAAGTTGTTTACTTTCCATGAATTTGTGTACTTTTGAGAGACCTTCTTGACGTTTATTTCTAATTTTATTGCACTGTGGTTCAAGAATGTGCCTGGGATGATTTCAGTGTTTTTGAATGTATTCAGACTTGCTTTCTGACGAAGCGTGTGGTTGATCTTACAATATGTTCCATGTGTAGATGAGAATGAATATTCTATGGTTGTTGGATGGAGTGTTCTGTAGATGTTTATTAAGTCCAATTAGTCAAGTGTCAAATTTAAGTCCAGAATTTCTTTGTTCGTCTTCTGCCTTAACGATCTAAAACCATCAGTGGAGCAGTGAAGTCTCCCAGTATTATTGTATGATTGTCTAAGTCTTTTTGTAGGCCAAGAAAAACTTGTTTTATGAGTCGGGTGCTCCAATGTTCAGTGTGTATACATTTAGGATAAAGTCTTCTTGTTGAACTGAACCCTTTATCATTATGTAATGCCCTTCTTTGTCCTTGGTAATTGTTGTTGGTTTGTTTTATACGCTATAAGAAATAGTGACCCCTACTATTTTTTGTTTGTTTTTTGTTTACATGACAAATCTTTCTGCATCCCTTTACTTTGACCCTGTGGGTTTCATTACATATGAGATTGGTCTCTTCAAGACAGCAGACAGTGGTGTCTTGCCTTTTTATCCAACTTACCACTCTATGCCTTTTAAGTAGGGCATTTAGATAACTTACATTTAAGATTAATATTGATATGTCAGATTTTGATCCTGTCATCATGTTGTTAGCTGGCTGTTTTATAGACTTGACTGTGTAGTGCTTCATAGTGTCTATGGGCTATGTGCTTAAGCGTGTTTTTGTGGCAGCAGATGCTGTTCTTTTGTTCACGTGTTTAGCACTCCCTTAAGGACCTGTTATAAGGCTAGCTAAGTTGAAATGTATTACCTTAGCATTTTATTTTCTGAGAAGGATTTTATTTTTCCTTCACTTATGAAGCTAAGTTTGGTGGGATATGAAATTCTTGGTTGGAGTTTATTTTCTTTAAGAATACTAAAAATAGGCCCCTAATTTTTTCTGGCTGATAAAGTTTCTGCTGAAAGGTCTGCTGCTAGCCTGATGGAGTTCCCTTCATACATAACCCGACCTTTCTTTCTAGATCCCTTTTCTTTTGCATTAACTATGGTGAATCTGAAGATTATGTGCCTTGTAAATCTTGTACAATATCTAGCCAGGATTCTCTGTATTTCTTGGATTTGCATATCATCCTCTCTAGCAAGATTAGGAAGATTTTCATGGACTATATAGTCGAATTTATTTTCCAAGTTGTTTATTCTCTGTCCTTCTCTCTCAGTAATGGCAATGAGTTGTAGATTTGGTCTCTTTATATAATCTTTCTCAGAAGTTTTGTTCACTTTTAAAATTGTTTTTTCTTTATTTTTGTCTCACAGTGTTAATTCAAAGAACCAGTCTTTGAGCTCAGAGATATTTTCCTTAGCTTGGTCTATTTTGCTGTTAATACTTCTAACTGTATTATGAACTTCTTCTAGTGAATTTTTAACTCGAGAGTTTCAGTTTGGTTCTTTCTTAAAGTGGCTATTTTGTCTTTCAGCTCTTCTGTCATTTTACTGGATTCCATGGATTGGATTTCAAATTTGTCCTGAATCTCAATGAGCTTCCATGACATCCAGATCCTGAATTCTATGTCTCTCATTTCAGTAATTTCTTATGGTTTAGGAATCATTGCTGGGAAAGACACAATCTAACCTTGAGTGACCTTGAATGTAAATGGGTTAAATGCTTCAAGGCATTTAAAAGGCATAGAGTGGCAAGTCAGATAAAGAAGCAAGACCCAACTGTATTCTCTCTGCAAGAGACCCATCTCACATGCAGTGATATCCAGGGGCTCAAAATAAAGGGATGGAGAAAAAATAGACCAAGCCAAAGAAAACAGAAAAGAGCAAATGGTCTGATTCTAATTTCAGACAAAATAGACTATAAACCAATAACAATCAAAAAAGACAAGGGTATTTCATGATGGTAAAGGGTTAAACTCAACAAGAAAACCTAACAATCCTAAGAATATATACATCTAACACAGAAGTACCCAGACTTATAAAGGAAGTTCTTAGAGACCTTTGAAGAGACTTTGATAACCACACAATACTACTGGGAGACTTCAACAACCCACTGACAATATTAGAGCATTGAGACAGAAAATGAACAAAGAGATTCGGGACTGAGCTCAACATTTGACAAAATGGTCCTAACAGACATCTACAGTACTCTCCACCCAAAAACATTAGAATATTATACATTCTTCTCATCTGCACATGGCACATACTCTAAAATCAACGACACAATCAATCATAAAACAATTTTCAGGAAATTCAAAAAATCCAAAATCATACAAACCACACTTTCTCAGATTACAATGCAATAAACATTGAAATCAATACAATAAAATACATCAAAAGCATACGTGAAAATTAACCAACCTTCTCCTCAATGACTTTTGGGTAAACAACGAAATTCGGGCAGAAGTCAAGAAATTCTTTGAAACTAATGAGAACAAACATACTACGTATCAAAATCTCTGGGACACAGATAAAGCAGTATTAAGAGGAAAGTTTATATCACTAAAAAAAAAACTACATCAAAATATTGGAAAGATTTCAAATTAACATCCTAACATCACACCAAGAGGAACTAGAGAAACAAAAGCAAATCAGTCCCAAAGCTAGCAAGAGAAGGGAAATAACTGAAATCAGAGCTGAACTGAAAGAAATTGAGATGCAAAAAACCATACAAAAGATAAACAAATCCAGGTTTTGTTGCTTCAGAATAACACATCAGATTGATAGAGCACTAGCTAGACTAATAAAGCAAAAAAGAGAAGAGATAAAAATAAACACAGTCAGAAATGACAAAGGAAACATTACCACCAACCCCAAAGAAATATTTTTTAAAAACCCTCAGAGACTACTATGAACAACTTTATGCACACAAACTAGAAGAAATTAATAAATTATTGGAAACATACAACCTCCTAAGATTGAACTAGGAAGAAACTGAAACTCTGAACAGACTAATAACAAGTTCCAAGACTGTGTTAATAATAAAAAGCCTACCAACCAGAAAAAGCCCAGGATCAGAGGAATTCACAGCTGAGTTCTACCAGATGCATAAAGAAGAGCTGGTACCTTTCCTCTGAAACTATTCTGAAAATTTGAGGAGGAAGGACTCCTCCCTAATTTATTCTATGAAGCCAACATCATTCTGATACCAAAACCTGGCAGAGATACAACAAAAAAAGAAAACTAGCAAAAAAAAAAAAAAAAAAAAAAAAAGAAAAGAAAAAAAGAAAATACTAGCAAACTGAATCCAGCAGCACATTAAAACTCTACTCCAACACAATCAAGTAGGGTTTATCCCTGGAACACAAGGTTGGTTCAGCATATGCAAATTAGTAAATGTGATTCACCACATAAACAGAACTAAAAACAAAAACCATCTAATCTTCAACAAGGCTGACAAAAACAAGCAATGGGAAAAGCACTCCCTATTCAATAAATGGTGCTGAGATAACTAGGTAGCCATATGCAAAAAATGGAAACTGAACCCCTCCCTTATACCATATATGAAAATCAATCCAACTGGATTAAAGACTTAAATGTGAAACCCCAAACTATAAAAACCCTGGAAGACAACCTAGGAAATTCCATTCTCAGCATAGCCCCTGACAAAGATTTCATGACAAAGATGACAAAAGCAAAAATTAATAAATGTGACCTAATTAACCTAAAAAGCTTCTGCACAGCAAAATAAATTATCAACAGAGTAAACAGACAACCTATAGAATAGGTTAAAGTATTTGCAAATGCACGCCTGTAGTCCCAGCTACTCGGGACGCTGAGGCAGGAAAATTGCTTGAACCCAGGAGGCAAAGGTTGCAGTGAGCCGAGCCCGCACCACTGCCCTCCAGCCTGGTGACAGAGTGAGACTCCATCAAAAAAAAAAAAAAAAAAAAAAAGAGTAGTCAAGGCTGGGCGCAGTAGCTCACGCCGGTAATCCCAGCACTTTGGGAAGCCAAGGCGGGTGGATCACCTGAGGTCAGGAGTTCGAGACCAGCTTGGCCAACATGGTGAAACCCCATCTCTACTAAAAATAACAAAAATTAGCCAGGCATGGTGGCAGGTGCCTGTAATCCCAGCTATTGGGGAAGCTGAGGCAGGAGAATCTCTTGAACCCAGGAGGTAGAGGTTGCAGTGGGCCGAGATTGCACCATTGCACTCCAGCCTGGGTGACAAGAGTGAAACTGCATCTCAAAAAAAATAAATAAGACATACACTTGGCCAAGAAGCATATGAAAAAAAATGCTCAACATCACTAATCATTAGAGAAATGCACATCAAAAGCACAATGAGATACCATCTCACACCAGTCAGATGGGCTATTATTAAAAAGTCAAAAAATCATAGATCATGCTGGCAAGTTTGCAGAGAAAACGGAATGTTTATGCATTGCTGGTGGGAATATAAATTAGTTCAGCCATTATGGGTAGCAGTGTGGTGATTTCACAAAGTACTTAAAACCAAAGTAGCATTCAACCCAGCAATCCCATTATTGGGCATATACCCAAAGAAATATAAATCATTCTACCATAAAGACACATGCACAAGTACCTTCATCGTAGCAATATTCACAATAGCAATGTCATGGAATCAACCTAGATGCCCATCAATGGTGAACTTGATAAAGAAAATATGGTACAAATATACTATGGAATACTATGCAGTCATAAAAAGAATGAGATCATATCCTTTGCAGCAACATGCATGGAGCTGGAGGCCATTTTCCTGAGTGAACCAACATAGGAACAAAAAACTAAACACTACATGTTCTTACTTACAAATTTGAGATAAACCTTGAATACACATGAACACAAAGAAGGGAACAATACATACTTGGGCATAGTTGAGATTGGACTGTGGGAAAAGGGTGAGGATCAGAAAACTGCCTATCAGGTACTATGCCTATTACCTGGGTGATAAATCTGTTCACCAAACCCCAATGACAAGCAATTTACCTATATAACAAATCTGCACATGTATAACTGAACCTAAAAATTAAAAAATTAAAATTAAAAAAGTAAAAGGTATCTCCAAACAAGCAAACAAATAAGGAAAGCAAATAAAAAAAATCATTGCTTGGGGTCTGGTGGACTCATCTGGAGGTATGGGGAAACTGGCTTTTTGAATTGTCAGAGTTCTTGCACTGATTCTTTCTCATCTGGAAGCATTGGCGTTCCTTTACCTGTGGTGTAATTTGAGTATAGTCACTTGGCTTTGTTTCTGAATGTTTTCAGATAGCCAAGGCTTTGTGCAGGGTCTTTATTTGTGGCTGGATTCTTGCCTTTGATTTCACTGGGGGATATTAGCAAAATATTTTTGGTGTTGTAGCAGTTTTGGCTGCAATCCAGTAGATGTCGCTTAAGAGTAATGGACGGTAAATACACTCTTGCTCAGGCCTGTGGTTCCTTTGTACTTCCTCACATCTACAGCCTGGTCTCCCGTACAGCGGGGAAAGAAGTGACCCCCTCACCAGGTCAGCTCCTGAGCCTTGGGGGAACCCCCTCCGATCACTAGCACTGCACCATCATTTCTTTTGCTAGGTGTTCCAGGCTGCGGGGCTCCCTCAGGCAGAGGCCACCGCAGGGAGATAGGCCACACCTTTTCCAGGCTCCTCCTGCAGAGGGAGGCGCGCCCCGCTCCCACAGCAGCCCAGGAACTCATGCGGTTACCCCTCTCGGTGCTCTGGGAGTGTGGGTTTCTCTTCCCGCTCTAGTATTGGACCTGGGGCGAGTTCGGGCTTTTTATTCCCTCCCCTGCTTGGGGGAGCAGGGAAGGGGACCTTGGCGGTGTCGGTGGCAGAGGGCTTGTCAGTTGTCTCTGGGAACTCCACCCCAGAGAAATTCAGAGCCGCTGCCAACCAGAATGATCAGCCCGGGATGGGACGTTTGTGCTGTGGGCGCAAGCCCAGGGCCCTCCCTGGTGGAGAGCAGAGGGATCGGGGGCTTGTTGGGGGGACTGTCTGACCTCCTCTCCGTAGTGCAGCTGTGGCATGCTGGATGTGCAAGCACAGCAAGCAGGCTCTTTGTTCCCTCCCTAGCCCTGGGGGTGGCAGCAGTGGCAGAGGGCCTGTCAGCTGCCTCTGGCAACTCCACCCAGAGCTACTGCTACTGCTAAGGTGAAGGATCCAGGGGTGGGGCGGCTGTGTTGTGGGCCAAAGCCGGGCCGTGTCTGGTGAAGAGTAGCCGGGGTCAGGGGCTCGCAAGGAAGACAATCTGGCCTTCTCTCCCTAGGACAGCTGCAGTCAGGCTCTTTGTTCCCTACCTAGCCTGCGGGGAGCAAGGAAGGACCTTACACTCAGCTAGTGGTGGCACAGAGCCTGCCGGTTGTCTCTGGGAGCTCTACCCCAGAGAAACTTAGGGCCACCGCCAAATGAAAGAACGGGTGGGGGTGGGGCAGCTGTGCTGGGACCCCAGGCTCGGAGGCCCTGCCCAGTGAGGAGTAGCTGGGACAGGGACCCAAGTGGAAAATAATCTGGCCACTTTTCCGTATGACAGCTGTTCGTATGACAGCTGCCTTGCTGAAGGTCTAGGATAGTTCCTGCGCTCTTCGATCCCTCCCCAGCCTGAGGGCGGCATGTGGGAGACCACAGTACCAGAAATCTCAGGCCTATTGGTTACCTCTGGGAGTTCCTTTCCAAAGAAATGGAGAGCCTGACTGGCCTGAGTGCTCAGGTGGGAGTGGGTTGGCTGCGTGGGCGACCCAGGCCAGTGGGCTTTGCCTGGCTTGATGAAGCAAGCGGGGCCTGCGGTCAGTCTGCTCCTCAGCACCGTGGATGCAGCCCCTATTCTAGGGGCATGCGAGAGAGCTGGCCTCCCTTGTTGGTGTGGCTATGGCAGCTGGCACCAAGGTGCTCAGGGCCCCACGGCTCATGGGGCTCCAGGTGACCCTAGCTGCAGCTCTGCCCAGACTCCAGTAATCTCTCTGTGTTGGTCTGGAAGCCCCTCGGGGTCACGGGAGATCTCCTGTGCCAGGATTGCAGAGGCCCATGGCAGAAGTGTGGGTCCCAGGAGGTTCTTATTCACCCTTTCCCTATGGTAGGGAGCCTCACCTGGCTCTATGCCAATCCTGGGTGGACTGCTTTCCTGCCTGGCCCCTTTCTGCTGTCCATCGATTGCAGTTGCTTCCTTGATGAATCCTAACATGGCCTCATGGACGATCCATGTGAAGAGCTAGTGTTTACTCACCACCCTGTCTCCCTCTCCATGAGTGGCACATGATAGCTGCTTCTGGCACCTCACCCTATTCTGTACTTTTTTATTGATAATACATGAGCAACATTATCCTACATGCTAATCAAAATCAGTGGTTTTCATTTCTGTGGTTGATTTTTAAGGGTAAGCTTACTTTCATGCTTATAAGCCTTTTCGTTTTTTTCCTTTGTTCATTGCCCACATTTCCTTCTATGTACCTATTTCATATTCATTTAAGCAAATTATTTATGTATTAGATAAATTTTTATCGTTTATATCGATTTTTAGTAATTTTTATTTTAATTTTTATTCATGGATGCCCTCTCATACAATCTTGGAGTAGGGAAAAAATATTCAATTTACATGCAAACCTTATAATCATGCAGAAAATAATCTCCACATCTATATGCCATAGAAATATTTTCAGCGTTTTTCTGCCTTTTGCCCATATAAACTTTTTTCATTTTTACATATCAAAATATGTAGCAGATATCAAGATTTAATACATCTTTTTATTTTCATTTTCTTTGTCAAACTTCAATGGCCTTTCTCACCTCCAAGATTGCAAACTTTTTATCCTATATTTTACCACCATTTTTGTTTGCTTTCTGAAGAAGCTGTCAACACACAGACAGGTTTGTCAAAGACTTTTGCCACTACCATTACAGATTCTATCAAATATACTCATACAAAATTTAATTTAGAAAAAATAATTAGAGAGACAATAACATGAGAGGTGCTCTCTACAATTCTCTTCATGCCAGACCATGGCTGATTGATGTGTTCCCTGAGCCAAGAGCTGGGAAAGTGGTTTCTTGTCCTCTCAGTCTCCTGGTTATGGCAGGGATAGGTCACTTAGCAGGTTAGTTCTACAGTGTTTTTCTGGTAACAATTTCTATAATAGATGCCCAGCATAAATAATGGTCTTCTATACTTGAAAAATTTTATAAGTACCTAATTTCTCACATTAGACCCCACTATTAATACAGGAGTTATTAAGAAATTATTTTTAGGCAGCTAGAAAGGGTAAAAGAGTCCTCAGAAAGGCTTTTCCTTTTAATAAAAAAGCAGCCCCCAAACCATTTCTTTTCTAACAGAAAGCAGCCTGAAAAGCCATGCTGGAAGCATAGGTATGTAAATTACAGGCTTGCAGAAGTAAATGCAGGTGGCTAACAGCCAGGTCCACTCAATATGACTCTTCCCGCTCACTTTCCTTTGTTGCCACATGTGCAGTTGTCATGGCACCAGCCAAGTAAAGCCACATGTGCAGGCATCATGGCGACAGCCAGGTAGAAGCCGCATTTGCAGAATAAAAGATTAGGGTGGGAGGGCCAGTCTTTTCATGGGTTGTGTGAATGACACACCTGGTCAAAGGAATCCCCTGGGCCCTATGCAAATCAGACACTACCTCCCTGAGCCTCCCAATATAACTGACTGCTTTCCCCACAAGTGGGGTTACTCCATTCAGAGTGCTTCTCCCTCTCTATGGGGAAGCTCTTCTCTTCCTTCTTGCCTAATAAACTTTCTGTTCCTTAACCCACTCCGTGTGTGAGTCTGTGTCATTAATCGGCACAGCACAAGACAACGAACTGCAGGTATTTCCCCAGACAACGAAGCTGCTTCACTATGTTGAAAATAACTGGAGTGATTTATGTAATCTGTAATACAATCTGAAGTACTAAATATCTAATAATGTCTAATAATCATCGTGAAGCTCTGAAGAAAAAATAAGTGAAATAATTTCATGACATTTTACCATGAAACAAATTGGCTTCCTTTCTTATCTCGCCACCAAATTTTGGGGGGGAAATATATATTTATTTATATATTGATTAAATATATAAAAATATATATTTATAAATATATAAAAATATATATTTATAAATATATAAAAATATATATTTATAAATATATAAAAATATATATTTATAAATATATAAAAATATATATTTATAAATATATAAAAATATATATTTATAAATATATAAAAATATATTACTTATTTTATATATATGTAAATATACATATATATAAAATATATATAAAAACATTAAAATATATGTAATTTTAATATATATATATAAAATACTATAGTCTTTTTCATAACATACTTGCAACATACATTTGGTTTTTGATATTTTACAGTTTATTAATCTCTGCCTAAAATCTTGCTGATGTTGCTCTAACCAGTAGAGGAAAGCATTGTAGATGAACTGCTCCTTTGCTTAAAACATTAAAATGGGTTCTTACCACAATTAAAATATGAAAAAATTCTTACCTCAGACCGAAAGACCCTTGCAGTCACATAAAACTTAACCCTTAAATTTCTCACACTTACTCATTATACTTCAACCACTCTGGGGTTTCCTTTATATTCTTTAAATATAATAAGTTTATTCTCTCATTATGCATAACTCTCCTCCATTGCCTACAATGGTACCTGGCAAATGGGAGGTACCAGTGAAAAACAGGACTTGTTAAATGAATGATATGAATTCCAGCCAGAATTCCTCCTTCTCAGTTTCTTATTATAAAATCCACTTGACAGACTACATGTCGACTCAATAACCTCTTCATGGAAGTTTTCACTTCCTGGTTGCGAAGGGTATAAATCATAGGATTCATCAATGGAAAGATCACTGTGTGAAAGAGAGAAACCATCTTGTCAGCTGGTAAGGCCCTGAAAGGGCATATGTAGATGAAGATAGCAGGTCCAAACATAAGAAGTATAATAATGACACGAGTGGTGCATGTGGACATGGCCTTGTTCTTCCCTTCAGAAGCTGCCCTACGAACATGGCAGAGGATGACTGCATAGGAAGCCAGAAGCCCCAGAAAGCACAGGAGTGTCATCAGGCCACTGTTGAAGACCATCAGAAGCTCCACCACAAACATGTCGGTGCAAGCCAGCTTGATGACCTGTCGGACATCACAGAAGAAGTTGTCCAGCTGGTTTGGGCCACAAAAAGGCAAGCGGAGGATGAGGACCACCTGGATAATGGAGTGGACAAAACCCCCAAGCCACAGAGCCAACATCATTGCATAGCAGGCTCTAGGGTTCATGACAGTTGAACAGTGCAGAGGCCGGCAGATGGCGATGTAGCGGTCAAAGGCCATCACAACAAGGAGTAATCCCTCCCCTCCTCCAAGGAAGTGCAAGAAAAAGAGCTGAGTGATGCAGCCTCTGTAGGAGATTACCTTCTTCTCAGAGAGGAAGTCCACCAACATCCTGGGAGCCACAATGAAGGAGTAGGATGCATCCAGGAAGGCCAAGTTGCCCAGAAATAAATAGAGGGGGGCTGTGAGCCCAGGGTCTGACCTTATGGTGAAAATAATGAGAAAATTTCCAGGGAGGATGATAAGGTAGAAAATTAAGATCAGCACAAAGACCAAGAGCTGAATATCTTGAGACTGAGTCAGACCAAGGAGGATAAATTCTGTCACTACTGTGTTGTTTGCTATCTTCATTTCTTCTGCCTGTAGAATATCAATAAAAGAGTTTATTTTCAGGTGTTACATCTAGATTATAGTTCTTGAACTAAACACAAGGTATGCCACATTTATATTATTCTATCTATCTCAACAACCTAAGAAATCACTTCTACTGTTTATGCTTCCTCATTTCATGATAGCCAACACCCTGGTCCTGAAGCCACACTCTTTCTTCTGTTTCAGTCCTGTGCTTCTGTTTAAGTGTTCACTCATGTGAGACTTGGATGTTACTGCTCTGAATTTGTTCCTGATTTGTATGAGGCATATGAAAATTTTTCTGACTGAGAAAAAACTTAACCCCAGTTATTGAGGACTTCATGTTTTGCTTTGAATGGAAGATGAGCTGGGATTGACAGCAAAGAAGAATGACAGAACTTTTCAAGGGGACAGAAATGTTCCGTTTTTAATTATAATGGTTATATGTATCTATTTTTGTCAAAATTTATTGAGTATTGAACTATACAGCAATTAGTACAATTTATTTTATATAAATGCTACCTTAGGAATGTTTATCTAAAAACTTTTATAAAGGCAACTGTACTTACCAGAAATAATTCCCTTTTCTCTATAGAACATCAACCAAATGAACTGGTCTAAATAAAAAGCTCTCAGTCACTCTGGAGAAAACAAGATCTGAGGCTTCTCTGTACAGTGGCTTCCAAATTGAGACTGTGCTCATGCTTGGGGATGTGCATGATAATTTATTGGTATGAAAGCAATAATAGGAGAATTTCTACACTTACATTATTGTATCCTATTGTTTGAAGTTTTATTTTTGAACATTTTACATTTATATAGAATCATGATGTAATTGGATATGAAATGCATAAAGAAGATACGTATGTTTTTGGTGCATGTTCAAAAAATGGTTTGTGGTTGAAATAAAAAAATTTAAAAGCTAAAGATCTTGAGCTAGAACAAAATACTACAATGTGATACAGAAAAATATTTCATATGCTTCTGTTACACAGCACATTTGTTTTAAAATAATGTGGACTATGAAGCGTAGAGGGAAAGAGGTTCATTAACTAACTGAATGAGGAGTCGGTGTGTAAGAAGAGAGGGAAACAAAAACAATAAAGTCCCGAATTAAGAAATCAAAGAAAATATTTATAATGGCACATCTATTTAAAACATCAAAAGATATGCTTTTCAAAATATATCTAATCCTAATATATTAATTAATAGCAGAGGTTTTCAGGTATGGTCAGAATTGGGAATTATGAAAGAAGTACCTAGGCCAGGCACTGTGGCCCACACCTGTAATCCCACCCTTTTTGGAGGCCAAAGCAGGTGGATCACTTGAGGCCAAGAGTTCGAGACCAGCCTGGCAAAACCCTGACTCTACTAAAAATATAAAAATTAGCTGGGCGTGGTGGCAGGAGCCTGTAGTCCCAGCTACTTCAGAGGCTGAAGCATGAGAGTCGCTTGAACCTGGGAGGTGGAGGTTGCAGTGAGTCCATATTGTACCACTGCACTCCAGCCTGGGTGACAGAGCAAGACTCTGTCTCAAACAAAAAAAAGTATCTTACATCACATGTATGTACATCACACAGACACAAATAAATACACGCAAACACACGTATCCTAACCAAAACAGAAGCATAAAATTTTACATATCATACCCTTCTTTTCTTTTTTTTTTTTTTTTGGCACTTGGCCATTTATTGACCTTAATATTTATCAGTCTTTCTGTGCATATAAAACCTGCTAATAGAAAAGTCGGGAATCCCTCTCTGCTTACTCTTAAGTTGTGTACATCTTGCATGTTATTATGCAGTTGGTTATTTCATACTCTTTCAAAAATTGAGGATGTATTTGGGTCATAGGAGAAACTTTCAAGTATCTCTGAGATTGGGAGTTTCAGGTTCTTGCACTGTACCTTGCATTTTATTCCCTGTTATCCACTTCTGTTCTCCTACTGACTCTGTAACATCTGGAACCCTCTACCATCAAATATCTTTGATTCACTGTGTTCCCTTTGTGTGCTTCCCTCTAAGCTCTTTTGTTATATGGATAGTGCTCACATCATGCTCATTATGGATCCAGAAACCAAATATATATATTCATAAGGTGGACATTCCTCTAGGTAAAATGAAGTAAGTCCTAGCAAAATAAAAGCACAGAAATTCCTGCAAAGACAAGCTTGGTCTTGTCTAACTATATTAGAAGAACATAACAATGTTAGAAGGATCACTGTCAGTGGAAGCTGAAATAGAAATCTGAATGACTGCCACTCCCTCTATCCTATATTTCAATTTCAACAGAAACAAAATTTCATCTGTTCCTGACAATGCTGGAGCAGCACAGAAGAGGAAAGAGTGATGGGTGGGGGCACACACACATTCCAGATAAAGGCTGCGCTATGCACTGTTCACGTTTAGAGTCCAGGCTCTTGTTAAAAAGTTCATGGAGCAGGTATTTGGAGATTTGATTCCCATCCACAGGCACTAATTCACTCATTTTTCTTTATATTTCCTCATGCCTCCTTTTAAAATATTTATTTTATTATCTTCCCCTCCCATCTCGCTAAATATTTCTACACTTCATTTTTTAAGTTATACTTTTACTTAAGTTGGTTTCTCTTTCTCTATTTTATCTTCTCTTTCTCTCTCGTATTTGTTCTCTAATGATTCCCCTTGCTTTTCTCTTATCTCTTCTATTTTTTCTCCTTTGTTGTTTTTACTTCTCAATGTTCTTGCAGTTTCCAATATTTTTCCACTCTCTCTTCTTCTCTATTCATTTCTCCTTTATTAGATCTCATGTTTGCCTTCCCATTAATTCTGAGAAGCATCACTATTGTTTTCTTTTGAAACAGTAGTAAGGACAGCACATGAAGTTTCTTCACTCCAATTTTTGTAAGGGTTAAAAATACCTAACCCATATTTCAGTACTAAATTACTTTCCTTGAATAGTATCCTACTTAAAATATACTGTGTAAATACTTTTAAATTATTTCCCATTACCTCAAATATTTTGTCTGTTTATAACTGATCTTAATAAAAGTGGCACTATTCACCTTTCTGCTTGAAAGAAATTTCTCATTAATCCACCCTACCAGCAAAAACACATTTTAGAAATGTTCCCAAAATAAGAATAAGAATGTGATGTCTATTAATATGTGCTATCTAATTTGTAACCCATAACCTATATAATCACTAATTTTTTGTGTGTTCTGAGAAATGTGGATAAAGTTAGAGTATCATCAAATCATTAACTGATACCAATGTTTATAATGCCATGATTTCTAGGCAAAGTAATGGATGTCATTTAAAAAGCCCTCGTTTGGGCATCTATCTGGGTTTAAGTTCTTCATTGTGCAATTTTTTTAACCGTGAGATCTTGGGACGGTCATCTTCCTTAGCCTGAGTTATTTTATCTCACTGTGTTGATTTATGAATATAATATGAGAATGATAGCAATAAGTAGCATATTGAAGTCTGACTAAACCAAAACTAAACAAGGAAAAAATGTAGATATTAAGAGGGGCTTTAGTTTCTAAGAAGTAAATATATAATATAGATCCTCTGTCCCTGCCTTTGAAATGAGTTGCTGGGGTAAAGGTAGCTATGTTAATGTAAGAAATTACTAGAAAAGAATTTATGAAGGCTTCATTTCAGCCAGCTGTCAAAGCCCCAGATTGGTATATGGTAAGACTCTTTGTAAAAGAACCTCTCATCCCAGCAGGTGTGGGAACTAGACAGAGCTAGTCTCCTGCAAAATCGTGAAGTTGGTGAAGATTTCTTCTGCAGCCTAGCATTTCTGCATTGGATATGACTTCTGTTCCCTCACGTCTTTCAGTTAATAGCTATAGGTTTAGGACCAAGTATAAACATTCCCAAGGCAATGTTAATAAAGGCTTTATATATTCCCAATAAATTAATTCTAAATATTAGGAGAAACTGGGGCTATATTATTAAGACCAGGTAAAAGGTGCTACTGTATTACTGAATTCAGATTAAACATATTAATCTATTTCTAGTTTGAAACCCATAACCTATATAATCACTATAATTCTGATCTTTGCATTTCAAGGCAGCAGATGTCCCACCTGAGGTGTTACAATATGTTTCCATTTCTTCCTTATGTTCCTTATAAATATGGAGAATGGAAAAACATTTACCTCTCTAGTAATCTAATGCTCCTGTCAAACAGCAGATATCACCTCCTTCTAATAGAAGGAACAATAACTAATTTTTCCTGACTTCATTGTTAAATATCTCTTCTCACAGAGGAATCTCTTATGCAACCAATTTGTGATGCAATGGAGAATGTACTTTGGGAATTTGAAGGCTAACAAAGCTGCAAACACTTTCAAAGGGAATTGTTAAAATGCCAACAAAATATAGTCAAAGAATGAGACTAGAAACATGTTATATATAAATAGTGAAGTATATATGATTTAAAAGTCACTATGTTACTTCTAAGTTTTAAAATCAACATTCTATCAGTGACACATATTACAGAATAGTCAGCATGTTTACTAGGTCCATGTGGGCAGAAAGCCAAAAGAGGTTATTTTATTTCTTACGTTACTATTTTTTTTAAAAAAGTGTATAATAGGAAATCATTGATAGATCAAGAAAAGAAGTAATGTGGTCAGGTAGGTAGTATGGTAAATTCAACATATTTCTGATGACAAAGAAATAGGCAAAGAAAAATAAATGATGTTCACAAAGACTCTTTGACATAATCCTTCTTGGAGACGAGAACTGCATATTGAAGGACTAATTCCTCACAAAGAGATGTATTCTTAAATACACCCTATTGTGGTCTTGGCCTTTGTTGTTTTCATTTTAGGAATAAGTGTCTCCTATGTTCCACTAAAGCAAAGACAACTATTTTTTTAAGTAAATATTACTAGACAGAAGAAAAGTAATTAAGAATCACATAGTAGAACACAATATAATTAAATTTCAGTAGATTTATTTTTATTTTAAAAAGATTTTTTATTTTAAAAATTAATAAACAGTTTTTCAACAAATATAATGCATAATCAATAATATTTTGTTCTAATTTATGTCCAATTCAGAAAATAATAAGTGGGAAAAATGGAACATGGGGAAAAGAGAAAAAGGGAGAAAGAGATACACAAAATCATAAAGGTAAAAAAACCGGGGGGGAGAAATGCAAGAACAGGAACAAATGCAAAGACAGTAATGGAATAATAGGAAATAAAAAGCCAGGCACAAAAATGCATATTTTGTAAAACTATATACACCAAATAAACTAAAAAGTGCAGTGTTTACTTTCTTAAAAGAAACAGAAAAGAAGTGATATAAGTAAAGAAACACATGGAAAAACATTCCCATTTTTGAGTATATTATAGTCTTTCTTGCTACCAAAGATTTTTTAAAATATGATTTTTTCATAATTGTAGACATAGTTAGGGACTTTGCTTCCTAATGTTTTCCACAATACTTAAAGTGAAGATAGTCTAATGATCTAAATTAATCCTTAGAATGAAGGCTTGTTATTCCTGCTAGGAAAGATTTGTCTCCCTAGACTATCTTAGAAACTAAAACCATGTACCAGGCTGTATTGTAGTGTCTGCAATGCAGCACCGAACAAGACAGAAAATATCCCTGTTCCTGGGGATTTTACATCCTAAAGCATGGAAACAGACAACAAACAAACATACCAGAGAGAAAACAACTGATTGTAATGAGCACTATGATAAAAATATAAGAGAAAGCGGAAGAGGCTACTATTCCAAGTGAGCTGGCCAGGGAGGGCCTTTCTGACAAGGTGGCAACATTTCAACTAAGATCTGAATGACAGAACTACACCGTCTCTGGGAAGATCTGAAGATAGACTTGTTGAAAGCTCATTAAGGGAGAGACTGGTGCATTGAGAAGCAGAAAGGAGGCTAGTGTGGCAAGACAGTAGTGAGCAAATGGAAAAAATTGTAAGGGAAGATAGAGAGGTAGAGCCAATATGGGCCAAATGGCAATCGGTCAACATACTATGTGTGAGATGTAACAGGCAGAGGAGTGTTCCTACCTGATTTACATGTTTAAAATGTTGTGCCAGGTACTAAGTGAAAAACGGGCTATAAAATGCAAGAAGTGGAGGCAAGGGGAACAGTAGGGAGCATTTGAAGAACTATTAATATAAATAAGAGATGTTGGTAGGTTAGGATAAGAGGTAAAAAAGAAGACAGAAGAATTTATACCAAAGATAAACTTTGGAGAGATAATCAATGGGACTTATTGAAGGACTGCATATGAGAGGTATGGAAGCAAGAATAACTCAGAATTTTTAATGGCATTACCATAAGGTTGGAAATTAGGCAGTGTACTTTAAATATACTTGACTTTAAAAATGTATTTAATTTTTGAATAGGTAATATATTTACATTTTTAAATAAAAAATAATTCATACAGTGAGAAATTTCCTTCTTATATCTGTCCCCTATATGTCCATTTCACCCCATACCTCAAAATTGGAAGCTAATATTAATTTTTGTATCCTTCAAGAAATTTATCTGTATTTACAAGCAAGCATGAAAATAAATTCTTGGTTGTATTTCTTAGAATACAATGTATATACATTAAAATACACACATTTAAGTGTTCAACGTAGTAACTTGTGTTAAATATATGCACTTTAGAAACTAGTATTGTAAACAAGATAAAGAATATTTCCGTCACTCCAGAAAGGTTTCTTGTGATCTTTGCCATCCACCCCCACCATCTAACATCATAATGAGCTTTCATCTTTTAATTCCTAATAGCATAGATTAGTTTTACCTTTTCTTGGATTTTATAAAAACAGAAGCATATGACATGTGTTATTTTGTATCTGGCTTTTAAACTCAGCATTACGATTTAGAGATTCATGCGTATTGTTGCATTTTCTGTAGTTGTTTCTTTTTACTGCGGACTAATGTTTCATTATATACTTAACCCTAAGTTTGTTTATTATCATTTTATCCTTTTATGGACATTTGGGTTGTTTCAAATCTTAGGCCACCAATAAGGTTTTCATTAGCATGCGAATTTAAATCATTTCATAGACATGTCTTAGCTAAACACGAATGGGATTATCAGGTCATAAGGTAGCTGTTTGTTTACATCTACCTGAAATTACCTGAAGTTTCTATTAAGTTTTTCAGAGTGGTTAGCCATTGTAAATTCCCAACATCAATGTATGAGAGTTCAAGTTATTCCAACAATTAATTCACCAACATTTGGTGTTGTGTTTTACTTATGCCATTATATTTTCTGCATTTCTAATGCTTTAATGTCTTGTGCCTTCCTAACACTGGAGGAACTATCCCTCTTATGGCTAGCCAATTCCTAGAGATGGTAAAAGCCTCACTTGCAACCAATCTAGAAACCATACTCCAGCCGCTTCTTTTATCAGGCACCTATAGCGCTATTACACTCCAGGCCACTATTTGCCTTCCCTAATCACCCCAGGGCCAAGTGCCAGACACTTAGAGACAGCCCCTATCCTCCAGAGCCCACTGGAATTATTCAATCTAGCCAATCCTAAACCTGTTTATCCTGCCCCATCCATTTATTTCCACAGAAACCATGATAAAGGCTCTTACCCACATTTTTCTCATTTCCCCACTCACCTAACCAACCTCTTATTTCTAGGGATTTGTGAGTCTAAAAACTTCTTCCTTCATGACAGTCATTTCCATGACAGTGTGTCTTACCATTCCTGATTAAAATAAATACCGGGCACCTTTAAAACAGTGCAGCAGACAAGAACTACATCTTGATGGCAGCTACATTGTTTTTGTCAGTAGTTGCCACAGGCTCCCAACATAAAATTGTGGAGCTCGGAAAGCTGAGTCCTCCCAGCGCTGCTGCATAGTCTAGAGTGTCAAGTGCCTGGGACTGAGCACCTGGAGGCACTCAATATATTTCTTCATGTTGGTAGAGCATCCGGAGTCCAGGAGAGAGCACGTGAGGGTGAGGATGTATTGGTAATTGGCTATATCAGTTTCTAGAAAGATTCGTCCGAAGGGGATGAGAACTGACTGCCTTCCTAGTGCCATGGATGAATCTGGCCCACTGACCAGGCAGCACTAACAAGCAATGGGGAAACTGAGTCATTTTTATGGACGTGTCTAGTCTCCAGTATGTTATATGTTCCTGGGGCACTTGATAAACCCCTTCCTCTTTTCCTTCTCTGCCATTTTGTTCTGTTCCTCAGAGTAGTGGGAGAGCGCTCTGCCTGAACACTTGATCGTGTGTTGTGGACCATTCCCTGCTGAGTAATGACGTGCATCTTTTCGTGAACTTGCTGATCACTTCTGTATCTTCTTTTCTGGAGTGTCTGTTCAAATTTTTTGCTGATTTTTCTTTACTTGAAGACAGAGAGAAACAGGGAGATTAAGAGAGACCAAATTTTCCTCCCAGTGTATGATTTCCTTAATAATTTGATGATAGTGTATCTTGACGAGCAGTAATTTTTAATTTTTTGAGGTTCATTGGATCACTTTTTATTATTACACCTGCTTTTGTGCTGCTTAAGATATCATTGCTTATTCCAATTGTGTAAGCAAATATATTATTCTGTGTTTTCTTCTAGATACTTTATATTTCTAGTTACTACATTTAGGAGTATAATCCAGCTCTGAAGATGCTCTTATTTGATTATATTTTCACTGAGATAAAAACTCTTTTCTCTTGTCATAATATAACTCTTCACTGGTTTACTTTTTTGTTGTTAAGGAAAAGAGATCAGCCGGGTCCCGTGGCTCATGCCTGTCCCAGCACTTTGGGAGGCCGAGGCAGGTGGATCATTTGAGGCCAGGAGTTCAAGACCATCCTGGCCAACATAGCAAAACCCCTTCTGTACTAAATATACAAAAATTACTCGAGCATGGTGGCATGGACCTGTAATCCCAGCTACTCAAGAAGCTGAAGCAGGAGAACTGCTTGAACCCGGGAGGCGAAGACTTTAATGAACCGAGATCAAGCCACTGCCCTGGAGCCTGGGATACAGAGTGAGACTCTGCTTAAAAAAAAAAAAGAAAGAAAGAAAGAAAAGGAAAAAAAAAGGAAAGAAGGAAGGAAGGAAACCAGTGAGATATTATCCTGACTGCCTTTCCCTTGAAGACGATCTCTGTTTTCAACGTCTGCTTAGTTGTCTTTATAGTTTAATAAGCCTAATACTAGATTAAATACAGTAGCCCCCTCTTACCCACAGTGTTGCTTTCTGTAGTTTCTGTTGTCCATGGTCAACTTCAGTCCAAAAAATGTTAAATGGAACATTCCAGCAGCAAACAATTCATAAGCTTTAAATTATGCCCCATTCTAAGTAGCAGGATGAAATCTCAAGCTGTCCTTCTCCATCCTTCCAGGGACATGAGTCATCCCTTTGTCCAGTGTATCCATGTTATACATGCCACCTGCACGTTATCACTTAGTAGCCACCTTGGTTATCAGTTAGACACAGCATCACAGTGCTTGTGTTCAAGTAATCCTTATTCTATTTAATAATGGCCCCAAAGTGCAAGAGTAGTGTTGGCATATTGTTGTAATTGTTCTATTCTATTATTGGTTGTTATAAATCTGTTACTGTGCCTAATTTATGAATTAAACTTTATCATAGGCATATATGTATAAGAAAAACATGGTATATATAGGATTTGGTACTATCCATGGTTTCAGGCATCCACAGGTGTCTTGGAACATATCTCCTATGGATAAAAGAGGACTACTGTGTATATATATATATACATACATATATATATGTGTGTATATATATATATACATATATATGTGTGTATATATATACATATATATGTGTATATATATATATACATATATGTGTGTATATATACATATATGTGTGTGTATATATATATGTATATATGTGTGTGTGTGTGTCAGAAACCCAGCCTTTTGTCCTAGTCACATGTTTGACTGTAATTTGTTCTCTGATAATTTCATCAAAGAGGTCTTAAAAACAACATTCACAGATTTTTGTTGCATATTTAAAACTTTGTGGCCTGTTTATTTAAATGCCAGTTTTGTGGGATATAAAATCTGAGGGTTATACTTATTTATGTAAGCATGTTGTAGCTTGTCTTCACCTGGACCTCTATTTAATGGTAATTATATTTTGGAACAATGCATGATAGGCCAACTGGTCTGCTTCCAATGGAGTTGGAGGGGTGAGACTTTATAAACTTTGTTGAAGAAAATCCCTGAGAAAAGAGATTGCCAGTGATACTTGTTTTGTTCTTTATATATTCATATGTTTTTAACTTTTAATGAATATATATTATTTTAGTAATTAAAAAAACAGAAGAACTTTAATTTTGTTTGAGCAATAAAGCTCTCTTTTAACCAGATATAATAATAAAATTCTGGTTAATATTGAGATTAGCAAAAAGCCAGAAGATGAATGGGACTTGGGTTCTAAAGTTTCACACAAGTCAGTGTATAATTGAAAGTATAATCACAATACTGAGCTAAAGATAATATACTCAACCGAGATATTGCTGATTTTAAACATAGTAGCTCAGCAGCAGTTTTGAAAGAAAGAGGAGTAGGAGAGACTGAAAGAAAAAAAAAGAGATTAAAAGACATTTAAAAGTAACTGAAAGAAAATGTAGGAGTTATATAGGGAAAAGGAGTCCTGAAGCATATTTTGTATTTGACTGCTGAGGATCCTGAGCTATTTGGAAACAATATTCAATGAGACAAGATTGCATATGAGGTTAACACCTATTTCTTCTACACTAACCTGCCTTATCCCTGCCCATTATTTAAGTCAGAGTTTCTCAGCCTGATGGAGTTCTTTATTCTTGGCACTATTGACATTTTGGGCCAGATAATCCATGTGGGAGTCAGGGGCTGGGGGCTGTCCTGTGCATTGTAAGATGTCTAAACAGTACAAGATGCCAATATATGTCCTCAGTTGTGACCACCAAAAATGTCTCTGGGCACTTCCAAATGTCCTCCAAGGGGTGAAATTGCTCTCAGTCCTTATTCCAATTATGGCCTCCATGTATCAGGCTCAGTTATTACTTACTAGAGTTTGCCAAAAGTTCCCCTTTTCTTCATTGATATTAGTTTCTAATTTCAGATAATATTCTTAAGTAAGCAATTAGTTATCACACTATTTTTATGCCTTTTTCCTTTGTATTACTAGCTTCAGTATTTTCAGTAAATATCTTTCTATATAGTACAGTGTGCTGGTGTTTGAAGAGCATATCAAATCAGTGGTCCCTTTCCCAAGAACATCAGCCCTAGTTTGATGAAAGATAAGTGACAAAATGAATAGAAGTCTGGCTAGACCAAATATAGAGAAATGACAGTAAGATGATAAAAGATTTAGAAACGTAACTCATCATTTTATCATATTATATATATATATCTTTTGTACTCTATATTTTTTCATGCTGTGTTACAAAATGTTAGAGAAGTCTACTGCTTTATTCACTTCCAGGTGATGAGAAGTCAAGTCAAAAATCAGGACTTATAACGTCAATCTGTGCCTTTGGGTTCCTAGAAGAGAAGCAACATAGCATTGAAGATCGAAGAAGGTCACCATAAGGAAAAATTCCCAAAGCAAAAAACAAGCTTTGTGTACCACCATTCCATCCTGTGCATCTGAGATACACTGGGTCTGGCACAAATTACCTCCTCAATTAATAAATAATATATCTGTAAATAAATAGTAACTCTAGGAATAGTTATACCATTTGTTTCTATATATTCATTCCCAATGTTGACAAGGATCTAATTCACTTAAAATTTAGTCCATATTACATTATCAAATTTAAAAAAGAAGACTAAAGATTAATATACCCAATGCATTCTTGCCCTTCAATGAAAAGATTCCCTAGTTTTGAAATTAAAAACTAATAAATTTAAGTAAAAAACATAACCTATAAAATCAAATGTTCTAATCTACCTCTTACATTCTGAAGCTTGGAGAGTGAGTTTTTAGTGCTTGAGAATAGGAAATCAGTCCCTAATAATTCTCTAAGGGATCATGGGAACCAATACGTCTAGGTCTGTCAATGGGAAAGAACTCTGAATTAAGCACTAACAAAAACAGCACTCTACCAATTTAAGTTTAACATGAGAGGCAGAATTAGCAATTATGGAAAACATACAAAAGTGGCAAAGGAGATGATAGTTTAGAAAAAAATTACACGGCTAGATGTCTACCAATCCCAGTCAACCTAGAAGCTTTCTCCCCAAGGCTGCTTTCACTCTGAAGGATGTAAGTAGGGACTGGCTACAAAAATTGCTAGTTGCCTGGAGGCTTCATCTGGAATGACATGAATCTCATGTATCAGCCAAATTATACTCTGCTTTGAATTCATAAAAATTGTTTTCATAATGTGATAAAATTTTGAGTTCTGTCTCCAAACTGTTGAATAGACACCACCTGAAATATAAACTGAAATACCTTTATAAGGTATTTCAGTTTATAAGTTGATGGAAAATCCTCATTTTCCATCAACTCTGGAAATAAGAGGAGATAAAGGACAAATAATCTGTTTTTCCAGACCCAGCAAGATGTTGACCAGATACCATTCCACTGAGCCAACACTGAAACATGACAAAAATATTTATTTGCTAACTTGAAGCTAGCTGCATCCATATGCTTGCCATTTACTTCATATTTGTAATGGACACGTCTCCATGTCTTATTTATTTTTCTCAACATGTTCCCGTCAAAGCCAGAGCCTCTGCAGAGTACTCAATAAACAATTAGTTAAAATGTACTTTAGCAGATTATTATATCTCAAATTCTAATAATGATCTGTTGGGAATTTCAGGGTAGGTGTGAGTAAATTTATTTTCATCTTAATGCCTCTATTTTTTCAATATAAAGAGGAATGAATAGAGAAAAATTATAGTAAAATTTTAATAACACAAATGAAAGGAGGAAGTCAATGCAGCATTATTACTGCAAATACTTCCTGCTTTAGGACAATGATCCTCAGGGGAACTATAAAATGTATAATTTATCTTTCACTTCTCTTTACACAAAATATATTTGGTGACCAACTTCCTCATGGCTGCCTTTACTTCCTTGTTTCTCAATGTGTAAATAATGGGATTATGTAAAGGGAATATTAAAGTATTGAACACAGACACCACTTTATCTAGGGAAAACGAGTCAAATGGGCGAGCATAAATGTAGATGGATGGCCCAAACATTAGCACCACAATGGTAATGTGGGAATAGCAGGTGGACACGGCCCTGTTGGTATTCTCACCTGAGCCTGAAAGTTTCTTGAGCAAGGCCAGAAGGAAGGCATAGGACATTAACAGAGCAATCAAACACACCACAGAGATCAGACCACTACTACAGATCATCACTAACTCCTCTGGGAAGGTGTTGGCACAGGCAATCCGGACAACCTGTGTGATGTCACAGAAGTAACTGTCTAACTCATTGGGCCCACAGAAAGGAAGTCGAACAATGAGAGCCACCTGTATGATAGAATGAATGAAGCCCCCCCTCCAGGAGAGAGCCACCAGGATACAGCAGAGACGTTGATTCATGATGGTAGCATAGTGGAGGGGTCGGCAGATAGCAGTGTAGAGGTCAAAGGCCATCACTGTGAGCAAGAACATCTCTGAAGCCCCAGCAAAGTGTAAGAAGAAGAGCTGTGCAATGCATTCATCAAAAGAAATTATCTTCCTCTCCACAAAGAAGTCTATGAGCATTTCAGGGGCTGTAATGGAAGAGTACCAAATATCAAGGAAGGCCAGATTAGCCAACAGGAAATACATAGGAGAGGTCAGATGAGGGTCTAGACTGATGGTGCAAATGATAAGGATATTTCCTGGTAGGATGAACAAATAGAAGGATAGAAATATAACAAATAGGACTAGTTGGACCTCTGGAGTCTGGGATAGGCCAGTGAGAACAAATTCTGTCACCTTGGTGTAATTTGCAGTTTCCATTTCTTCAATTTACTCTTTTCATAATATAGCTATGAAAATTAAGAAACTATAATTAGTAGACATAGCATTTACCTAGAGTTATATCACTGCTTTCAAAATTGTCATACGTTCCCTGTCACTAACAGATTACACGAGGATACATTTGGTTGCCCATTTTATATCTGATAAACCAAGAGGGAGAGAGTATGTGATGAAGTTATAAATTGGAAACATTAAAACTATATGAAGTGTGGCATATATTTGAAACTCAAATCTCAGCTTGTTAATGTTAAAAACTTACTTTTTCTGAAATTTGGCAATGCACTACTTCTTCCCCCAAACATCTACATTAGTAAGCAATATGTGAAGCTACTTCTGAGTGTAGCCAAATTTTAGACTGGCAATCAGAGATGTGGCCTCTTTTTTCTATATCTTTTTTTTTGTTGGGAAATCTTGCCAACCTGGAAACTTAGGCTTGCATTCTAATAGCACACACACAGATCTAGCAGTACTTTAGTTGTGATACAGAAAAGAGATCCCAAGGCTTCATAAGTAGTGAAGGGACATATTTTTCCATAACTATAACCAAAAACTGTACAGCTTAATCCTTGGTAACAGGTAACCAGCCACAACATACAGCTATGCAAGGCCTTATATAAAAAATTCTTCTAGCTGTGACCAGATTCATCAATACCTGATACTACATTGAGTATAAAATTTGCTCACCACAGCAGGAACGTAAGTAGGTGTACTGATCTGAGAAATGAGTATGCTTGCTACCCAATTTGATTCTGAGCTGATCTGCTCTGCTGTTTCAAGGTGACAATGGGAATAATATTATTTTTAAAATTTTGCTTACTGCCCTGTATTGAATCTGACACCACTAAGTAGCACAAAACTTGTCAAATAAAAATGAAATAACAGTTCACATTACCAAATATGCTTTTCTTTAAGTAAGGTTAAAAACTGCCACACCAAAGTAAGTTTTGTTGTAACCAACAGCAAATACAAGAGAGTTGTTTCTTTTCTGTTGATGTGATATTTTATGATATTGCCTCTCCTATTACTTAAAAAAATTAAATATGGAAAGGAATTTTTAAAAAGTTAAGGTTCTGTAAAACCAAATAGACGTGGCTGTGTCCAAACACTTATGGGCACTATGTATACTACTGAGAAAAGAAATTAAATGCGCCATTTTTGGAACCTACTGACTCAATTTATACATAATTTTAACAAACATAGATAAATGACTTTCAATATCTTATAGAAGCATTGTATTTTGAAAAAGGGATGGCTTACTACAAGCAGACACACACACATAAAACCAGTGTTTTCCAGGAATCTGGTAGCAAGCAGAAGAAAGGTAAAAATACTCAGAAATTGAATAGTGTGGGACTATTTAGAAAAGGGATCAATTTCCCCTTGCCCATAAATTGCCCAGTGTGGACCTCAGTGAGTTAATGAAGCATATTTAATAAGATTGAAAAATTTAAAATTTGGTTTAGGAAGATTTTAATCAAAAGAAAGATAATAAGGTTATCCAGAATGAAATATTTCCTAACATTCCAAGAAACAATGATCTTATTGTACTTACCTGGAGGAGGCAGCTCATAGCCCTCATAACTAATAACACAACATTGTGTTATTAGTTATGAGGGCTATGAGCTAGTTATATACTAACTCATTTACATTCACTGATAAGTCAACTATGAGGTTCCAACAATCAAATAAATTTCTAACAAAAGCATCTGAAATATTATGATTACTCAGCTCATTTACATATTTTGCTATTATGCTATGTAGTTTTTGACCAGATGGAAGCGATTATTTGTTCCTAAGTAAATAATTGTCCCTTTATTATTGAAAGGAGATGAATATTTTAAAGCAGTAAATACCATTACAAGATCATATGCTTTTTTATTATTATGGGGACATGATGCAATGATTCTGAGTGTCGTCACACAAATCACCCCTTCTTCCTCTGCTCTACTCCATACCCATTCCACCAAAACAGAAGTAGAAAATGGCACTAATCTAGAAAGAATTTAGGTGAATGAGTGTTGATGTCTTGAAAAGACAGACATACATCAGGTATTATGGAATAGAAAGGGTGATTTTACCAGAAAAAAGTGTCAAAGAGATTTTCTTTTGTACCTCAGTGTTCAACATATGACATAAAATTAGAAACTAATGATGTATATACTTTGCATTAAGAACCAAAATCAACCACATTTATTCCTTAGGACAAAAATACAAAGGATTCATCCCTCCACACTCCTTGATGAGTGTCTCTGTCCTCCACCCTTCACAAGTGTCAAGTGGAAAAGAAATATTTTGCTGGAGCATCTCAATCCAATAGTCAGGCAGCCAATCAAACCCCCTACTCCCAAAGCTAGTAATGCTCAGCCACTACTCATCACACACACACACACACACACACACACACACACACACACCACTACACCATGTCACTTCAAGGAAGAACAAGCACCTAGTTTCCCTACATTAACATAACCATTACCTAAAATACCATAAATGACGCAACAATTCTTATTCTGTCCAGCACTTGTCATTTAACACATGTCAAAACAAAGCTATCTACATGTGATATTAAAAAGTCTATTCCTAAATATATAGCTTCTGTGTCACTTCTGTAAACTATTCATTTGTTTATCCCGCAAACATTTAGAGAGTATCTACTATATGCTACCTGCTGAGACACAACAATGAACAAGGAACACTCAATATCTGCCTCATCAAACTTCCATTCTGAAAATATAGACAGACAATAAATAAGTAAACAAATAAAAATAAAATAAAATATAAATAAGTAAAATAAAATAATTGCTACTAGTGCTAAAAGACAAGCAGGAAATAAAAAGGCAATGGTAGAGTAAATAATGATGGGAGTGGTATGTGTGTGATGGAGTATTTTAGAAAAGGTTCTGAGTTGGTGACGTTTTTCTAACTTTGAAAGTTTGAAGAAAAGCATTTTAGGAATAGAGAATAGTAAATGAAAAGGCCTTGTGTCATGAAAGACTTTCTAAGAACTGTAGAAGACCCACAACTGGTAGAAGCATAAGAACAAAATAAAGAGTTAGTCAAAGACCAAGTAATGTAGCCCACAATAATAAAATTGGATTTCCAATTTTCTTTCAATATGTTTTACAATAAAACTCGGGAGAATAGCTTAATACAATTTGCAATTTAGAAATATCACCCTGGCTGCTATGTGAATAAATCAGAGTAAGACAACATTACAAGAATATATATATATATATATATGGCTTAAACTAACAATACAGCAATAACTATTTGAAGAGAATAATAATTTGTTTAGAAAATATTTAGGAGATGCAACTCCAGGGTTTATCAATGGATCATATGTTGCTATTGTCATACTACCAAAGGCAGCTGGAATTTGAACTCCACAATGGCAATTTAAAAATATTGTTTTCCTATCTTCTGTGTCTAAAATGAGGTTCATCCAGCCCATACCACGTCCTTAATAAAATTGGGCTAAATAAACTATACATACTTGGGTATGCACTGTAACACTCCAAGAAAAGCTGGGAATTGTACCAAAAAAACCCAAAGCAAGCAATTATGTTTATGGGAAATTCTTGGGGGAGATAAGCCACTCATGAAGATTGACTTAGGGCATTTTTTTCTAAGGTTGCCATTGAGGAGGGGATGACTATTCCAAATCAGTCCTTACTCTTAGAGCAGTGGTTGGATAAGTTCCTTAAGAAGATTTACTTCATCTTACATCCACCCACCTACTCCTCCTAAGCTTCTGCTCCTCTTTTAACAACATCTAGAAAATTCCCATTCTTAATCTACAGGGATGTAGTACCTAGAGGATGACTATGGAAATACCTAGGAGTACAGGTGCATTCCCTGTCGGTGAGTGAACTGTGAAATCTTCTCAAGAGAAGCAATGCTTTGGGAGAAAACAAGAATCTGCGTGATGTTGAGGTCGTGAGATCTTCCTCTATGACAGTTTCTTCATAGCAAAAGGAGGGATTTTAACTAGAATTTTAAGAAATGTTCTACCTCTAAAATCCTATGATTCCGTTAAAGTAAAAGTAGGTTGAGAGTAAAATTCTCAGAAAGGTAAATTAAGAATGATTTGGGTAGCAATAGGGAGAAACAGTGATATCATCACCATTGTGGATATATACAACACTTAGAAAGAATGCAAATTAATTTTCCTATTTTTAGGATATGGAGCTCACTTATTCTGTGGGATGGTGAGGAAGGAGTATACAGAAGCATCTTCACCATATAGATGGGTATAGGTAGCCAAGGGACCTCGAGTGTCATAAATAAACCAGTAGCAGAAAATATCAAGATGTAGTTATTACATTGATTTTCTGTATGCATTGTTGCCCACAGTAAACTAGGCAAGAAGAAACCATTAGGATAAGAGAAGGGCTGATCTCAATGAGACTATTTTGAAGATCATTTGCTGCTTATTTCTCTTTTAATATACTTTAATATATTATTATATTTAATAATACACTTTAATGTTATTAAAGTATATTAAAATATATAGTATATACATTAACATTATTAAAGTATATTAAAATACTTATTTTATATACAACTATTAATATATTCTTTTAATTTACTTGAATATATTAAAGTATATTAAAATATATTTTATATATAATATAAATTATATATAAATATGTATATATCATATATTTCCATATATTACATATTTATATATTATATATATTTGCAGCTTATTTCTCTTTTAATATACTTAGATATGGGGTGTCAGTGCTATCAACTGAAGAATGATGGGGTTCATAAATTTGGAAAGGAGGACCTTTATTTCTCATAGAGTTGTAGCCTGAAGGGTGGCTATTATGACAGGCTGGGAAATATAGCCTCTGGCCAGGAGCCAGAAACAAATATTTCGAGACAGTGTCAAAAGGAATATGTACTGAGTGAGGTGGCCAAATACATATGCTCAATAAGCTATAGGAGGAATCTTGAATATTTATGAAAGGACAACCATGCACATGCACAATTGTGCTTCATGCCCCTTCATGAGTAGCATATAGTTGGTCTCTTATCAGGAAGGAATGCTGGTTAATTGCCATGTTAAAACCACAAAAAAAGAGGGACTGCTTCAGTGATTTGTTGATATCAGCAGTGGAGTCTTTCAAAAGAGCTGGTTTCTATTTAGCACTTAGGTAGGAAAGTCTAATGGTAGTTAAGTGAGGGCGGGGATGTAAGAAGGCACCTCTGACCGCCCATCTTGTCATGGATGAAAACTCAGCTTTTAAGGTTACTCTGGGGTGCCCTTGGCCAAGAGAGGGTCCATTCAGTAGCTTGGGGAGCTAAGGGTTTCATTTTTATTTTATTTCTCAGTGCCTTCATTCTAACCACAGCTAAGCACTTACTAGCTGTGTAATCCTGGGCAACTCACTTACCTCTGCCTCAGTGTGCCTCATTAGTGCAATGGAAATAATAACAGTACCTACTTCACAGGTATTGTAGTGATTAATGCATATAATGCTCCCCACATTTTTCCCAGACCCACAGTCCTGTTACATTGTTGATGTATCACTATTTTTAAATCCTTCAGCTATTCTCAGAAGCTTGTTTTCTAAAATGCCTGAAATTTTGTATGAATTTTGTATATATAAGTTCCATAAAAATGTCATATTTTTATGGCTCCCATAATAGTACTGTTTACACCTCCAGTACAAATTTTAACTCATTACATTGTAATTTTTCAGTTTGTATTTTGCAAAATATAACAGGAACTCTGAGCTCCTTGAGGTCATGGAGTATGTCTCATTTATATATCTACTGCCTAAAGTAGTTCCTAGCATGTTATGGTCTTCAATATGTGTTTGTTAAATGGATGGATGGATGGGATGATTACATGGATTTTTTATTGAATAAATAGATCAGTAGACTTTGACAAAAATTAAACACCACAACATCTAATTGTTTTTATTAATTCATTTCTTCTTTCCCTACTCTGCTACATAATTCCTAATTTTGCTTTTTGGAATCCTTTTTGTTAAAATACATATTTCACCCACATTTATTTCAAGTAAGAGTCTCTTTGCTTTTAAGTTTCTTTTTTGCTTTTCTATTTATTTTCAAAGTTTTTGCTACTACTAACACTAATCCCTTTGAAATGAAATATTTCAAGCCTCACCTTTCCCTTCCTCTTCACAGAGATCATCCTGAAGAACTATAAGAAGTAACTACCATGCCTATTCCAAAATTGACCACATAGTTGGAAGTAAAGCTCTCCTCAGCAAATGTAAAAGAACAGAAATTATAACAAACTATCTCTCAGACCACAGTGCAATCAAACTAGAACTCAGGATTAAGAATCTCACTCAAAGCCGCTCAACTACATGGAAACTGAACAACCTGCTCCTGAATGACTACTGGGTACATAACGAAATGAAGGCAGAAATAAAGATGTTCTTTGAAACCAACGAGAACAAAGACACAACATACCAGAATCTCTGGGACGCATTCAAAGCAGTGTGTAGAGGGAAATTTATAGCACTAAATGCCCACAAGGGAAAGCAGGAAAGATCCAAAATTGACACCCTAACATCACAATTAAAAGAACTAGAAAAGCAAGAGCAAACACATTCAAAAGCTAGCAGAAGGCAAGAAATAACTAAAATCAGAGCAGAACTGAAGGAAATAGAGACACAAAAAACCCTTCAAAAAATCAACGAATCCAGGAGCTGGTTTTTTGAAAGGATCAACAAAATTGATAGACCGCTAGCAAGACTAATAAAGAAAAAAAGAGAGAAGAATCAAATAGACACAATAAAAAATGATAAAGGGGATATCACCACCGATCCCACAGACATACAAACTACCATCAGAGAATACTACAAACACCTCTATGCAAATAAACTAGAAAATCTAGAAGAAATGGATAAATTCCTCGACACATACACTCTCCCAAGACTAAACCAGGAAGAAGTTGAATCTCTGAATAGATCAATAACAGGAGCTGAAATTGTGGCAATAATCAATAGCTTACCAACCAAAAAGAGTCCAGGACCAGATGGATTCACAGCCGAATTCTACCAGAGGTACAAGGAAGAACTGGTACCATTCCTTCTGAAACTATTCCAATCAATAGAAAAAGAGGGAATCCTCCCTAGCTCATTTTATGAGGCCAGCATCATTCTGATACCAAAGCCGGGCAGAGACACAACCAAAAAAGAGAATTTTAGACCAACATCCTTGATGAACATTGAGGCAAAAATCCTCAATAAAATACTGGCAAACCGAATCCAGCAGCACATCAAAAAGCTTATCCACCATGATCAAGTGGGCTTCATCCCTGGGATGCAAGGCTGGTTCAGTATACGCAAATCAATAAATGTAATCCAGCATATAAACAGAACCAAAGACAAAAACCACATGATTATCTCAATAGATGCAGAAAAAGCCTTTGACAAAATTCAACAACCCTTCATGCTAAAAACTCTCAATAAATTAGGTATTGATGGGACGTATTTCAAAATAATAAGAGCTATCTATGACAAACCCACAGCCAATATCATACTGAATGGGCAAAAACTGGAAGCATTCCCTTTGAAAACTGGCACAAGACAGGGATGCCCTCTCTCACCACTCCTATTCAACATAGTGTTGGAAGTTCTGGCCAGGGCAATTAGGCAAGAGAAGGAAATAAAGGGTATCCAATTAGGAAAAGAGGAAGTCAAATTGTCCCTGTTTGCAGACGACATGATTGTATATCTAGAAAACCCCATTGTCTCAGCCCAAAATCTCCTTAAGCTGATAAGCAACTTCAGCAAAGTCTCAGGATACAAAATCAATGTACAAAAATCACAAGCATTCTTATACACCAACAACAGACAAACAGAGAGCCAAATCATGAGTGAACTCCCATTCACAATTGCTTCAAAGAGAATAAAATACCTAGGAATCCAACTTACAAGGGATGTGAAGGACCTCTTCAAGGAGAACTACAAACCACTGCTCAAGGAAATAAAAGAGGATACAAACAAATGGAAGAACATTTCATGCTCATGGGTAGGAAGAATCAATATCGTGAAAATGGCCATACTGCCCAAGGTAATTTACAGATTCAATGCCATCCCCATCAAGCTACCAATGACTTTCTTCACAGAATTGGAAAAAACTACTTTAAAGTTCATATGGAACCAAAAAAGAGCCCGCATTGCCAAGTCAATCCTAAGCCAAAAGAACAAAGCTGGAGGCATCACACTACCTGACTTCAAACTATACTACAAGGCTACAGTAACCAAAACAGCATGGTATTGGTACCAAAACAGAGATATAGATCAATGGAACAGAACAGAGCCCTCAGAAATAATGCCGCGTACCTACAACTATCTGATCTTTGACAAACCTGACAAAAACAAGCAATGGGGAAAGGATTCCCTATTTAATAAATGGTGCTGGGAAAACTGGCTAGCCATATGTAGGAAGCTGAAACTGGATCCCTTCCTTACACCTTATACAAAAATCAATTCAAGATGGATTAAAGATTTAAACGTTAGACCTAAAACCATAAAAACCCTAGAAGAAAACCTAGGCATGACCATTCAGGACATAGGCATGGGCAAGGACTTCATGTCTAAAACACCAAAAGCAATGGCAACAAAAGCCAAAATTGACAAATGGGATCTAATTAAACTAAAGAGCTTCTGCACAGCAAAAGAAACTACCATCAGAGTGAACAGGCAACCTACAAAATGGGAGAAAATTTTCGCAACCTACTCATCTGACAAAGGGCTAATATCCAGAATCTACAATGAACTCAAACAAATTTACAAGAAAAAAACAAACAACCCCATCAAAAAGTGGACGAAGGACATGAACAGACACTTCTCAAAAGAAGACATTTATGCAGCCAAAAAACACATGAAAAAATGCTCATCATCACTGGCCATCAGAGAAATGCAAATCAAAACCACAATGAGATACCATCTCACACCAGTTAGAGTGGCAATCATTAAAAAGTCAGGAAACAACAGGTGCTGGAGAGGATGTGGAGAAATAGGAACACTTTTACACTGTTGGTGGGACTGTAAACTAGTTCATCCATTGTGGAAGTCAGTGTGGCGATTCCTCAGGGATCTAGAACTAGAAATACCATTTGACCCAGCCATCCCATTACTGGGTATATACCCAAATGACTATAAATCATGCTGCTATAAAGACACATGCACACGTATGTTTATTGCGGCATTATTCACAATAGCAAAGACTTGGAACCAACCCAAATGTCCAACAATGATAGACTGGATTAAGAAAATGTGGTACATATACACCATGGAATACTATGCAGCCACAAAAAATGATGAGTTCATGTCCTTTGTAGGGACATGGATGAAACTGGAAATCATCATTCTCAGTAAACTATCGCAAGAACAAAAAACCAAACACCGCATATTCTCACTCATAGGTGGGAATTGAACAATGAGATCACATGGACACAGGAAGGGGAATATCACACTCTGGGGACTGTGGTGGGGTGGGCGGAGGGGGGAGGGATAGCACTGGGAGATATACCTAATGCTAGATGACGAGTTAGTGGGTGCAGGGCACCAGCATGGCACATGTATACATATGTAACTAACCTGCACAATGTGCACATGTACCCTAAAACTTAAAGTATAAAAAAATAAAATAAAATAAAAATAAAAATAAAAATAAAAAGAAGTAACTAAAGATCTTGCGGTTTTCCTGACTTTCTTCCAGGAGTAAAAGGATTCAAAATTTTGGAAGTTTATTTTAATAATCTGTCACGCTCTGAAGACCCATAAATCAAAACAGCCTTCTCTGAGCTTGCTTAGAAATGATTCATCCTATGAGTATAAAATGATGAAGCTGTCTCTTCAATGCCCTGTTCAACCCTGACTTTAAAATGCTTTAATTATTGAGACCAAGGCTGAAAAGAAACAATTTGTCCACCCACTCCACAGCTAAAACCTACTCTATACTATCATCACAGTTCCCTAAGACATTTCCTTACATGCTGCTTTCTGTTTCTTACCACTGATCTCTGAGCATTTTACATAGTTATTCCCATCATTATTATCTGTCCTACTGTCTCAAAAATAGGATGGTTTATGTAAATGTTATAACAACATTCCACCTACCAATTACTGTGACAGTCTTGGTGCCTTCAGGAACTATGGGGAGGAGGTAGAAGAAGCCTCTTCCACCACCCGCAGTGGAGGACTTTATCCTGGGTACATGTTGGTATGCATCAGTTTCTGCCCTGATGTAACAGTAAACTAACTAGCAGCATGAGCTGTAACTACAAAAATCAATCCTCTGGAGGCCAGGAGAAGCCAAGTAGGAACATAAGCCCTGAGGGAATAATTTAAAAGTTGATTTGCACTTCATCCAAAGAGCACAGAAACACAACTTTTGAGTTTCACAGAAGAAGTAAGAAAAATGGCGAATTTCCCAGGATTAGGGGTGGAAAATGCTACGATGTACAATATGTGCTCTCTAGAGTATGACGTGCATTTTCAATTCTATTGTCCCAGAGGACAAAATAAGTTGTGCTGGAACAACTGGTTAACCAGATTTTTTAAAAGAATTATATTTTATAACTTATACTTAACATAAATTGCAAAGGAGTAATTTTTTTAATTACTAGAAACATAGAGAGACTATTTAAATTATTTTGGAATAAATAAAAACTTTTAAGTATATCCTGCCCCTATGAAGGAAAAACAATAAGAAAAGAGTTATAGCATATTTGATAATGAAATTTAAAATTTATCAATGGCAAACACAAATATAGGGGAAAATGTTAGAAATTAAAACAATTTAAAATTACTAGAAAATAAAGACAAATTTAACAGGCAAATAATGAACAGAAAAAAATAAATTTAAATAACTCCATTATATAAGAAGCACTTAAAAATCAGTCATACTATGGCAAAAATAATAATGATAATAATGCAATTTCAAAGTGGGTGAAAAACTTGAAGACATTTCTCAGAGGAAATACACAAATGGCCAACAGGTATAAGCAAATATGTTCAGCATCACTAGTTGTTAAGGAAATGCATATCCAAACACCAATGAGATATTGCCTCATGCCTATTAGCATGGCTATTATCAAAAAACAAAAGAAGTGTTGGCTAGAATTTAGGGAATTGAAACTCCTATACACTTTTGGTGGAAATAGAAAATGGTGCAGTCACTATGAAAAATAATGTGTCAGTTCCTCAAAACATTAAAAACAAAATTATTATATGATTCAGCAATCCCACTTTTAGGAATATGTCCAAAAGAATTGAAATCAGAACCTCAAAGAGATACCTTTACACCCATGTTTACTACAGCATTATTCACAAAAGCCAAGATATGGAAACAGCCTAAAAGTCCATAGACAGATGAACAAAGAAAATGTGTTAGACATCAGCTAGAATGGCAGAGTAGGTGATCTCAGTCTTTATTCCTCCTAAAGGAACAACAACTGGGCAAATATCCACAAATGAAAATATCTAGCAGAGATCAGGAATCTACTTCAGAAGTTAAAACAACAGAGCAGACAGAAAAACTTCAAGAAAAAACACAAAAAAATGGTAGAAAAAACAGTTTCATTTTGCCTGCGTCATCTTCCTCAGGCTGGCAGTGCTCAGTATGGAGAGGTCACTGCTCAGCTTGCAAGTTCCCCTTGCAGAGAAAAGAAGAGTGGAGTGAACCATCTTACCCAGCCTACTGGAGCATTGCCCAAACAACCAGCTTAAGTTTCACCCATCCCAGATTGCTAGGGAGACCAACATAGGAGAGAAATCTGTAAACTGCTGGTAAGAAAGAGAAATGATGAGGTCTATCAGTATCAGTCCTGTGGTAGGAATCAATGCAGTCCCCAGTAGCCTGATCTGAGCGGAATTCTGGTAGCCTTCTATACCAAGGACCTCAACAGCCCTCATGGATGTGACACAGGATTCTTTGAGGGCCACTTTGCCAAGTGGAAATCTCGATGGCCAGCAGAGCCTCTGCTGAGGCTTCACTCAGGCCCTCTGAGCTCGTCCTGCTCATTTGGCCTGGCAGGCTGTGCTCCACTCATGCTCACTCACCCAGATGCCATGACACCCACCGTAGCTCAGTGCTCAGCCCACGGTTGGTTTGGGCATGCTATGACTGACTTCTGCCTTGAGCGCTGGCATCTGGATAAGGGGGATGCAGCAGTGCCCAAAAACTCAGAGATGCCAGCAACTGTGGAGCCCGAAGAGGTGTTACAGCTTTTGCTCTGGGAGTCAAGGTCTGAGCCCCCAGGAAGTGTTACAGCTCTTGTTCGTTCTCACTGCTGGCAGTTTCAGCAAATGGGGATGTGTCACAGCTCATTCAGTCCTGCTGCCCACAGCTCAGCAATTGGGGACTTGTGGCACCCAGCATTTTTTTTTCACTTCTGTAGCTTGGTGAACAGGAGGTGTATCTTACAGCTCTTTTCGCACCCACTGTTCAGTGGATCCTGGATTCTTGTCCTGCAACCAACAGGAATGAAGCATGCAGACACCGCAGAGTGAGCAAGGCTGATGAGATTTTTATTGAGCGGCAGAAAAGCTCTTGACAACAAGAGAGTAGCCAAAGTGGGCAGCCCTCTGTGTAAGAGTGGGGCTGAAAGCAGAGAGCCATCTGTGAGGCTGAGTCTGGGGTTTTTATGGGCTCAGAATGGAGGAATCTGTGCTGATTGGTTCATGGGCAGGCCTGGAAAAAGCACCATTTAATTGACTAAAAGGCACTGAGGAAGTTCTCAGTTGGGTCGTGGACTCCACCTGGAACTGGCGGCTTGGTTTTCAGGCCTCAGGTTGTCTTTGGCTTGAAGGTTGGGATTCACCAGGGACTTATCCCTGTCTGCCTAGGAATCTGTCTGTCTCCTGTCATTATCAGCTGCACATACCACACTGCTTTTACTACCAAGGAACCCACAATTATCATTGCACAAACTATAGTACTTAACTCCACAGAGGACTCCAGCAGGTTTAGTCACTGACAAAATCAACACCCAAAGATCACAAAGAAGCAGGAAAACATGACACCACCAAAGGAACAAAATTAATTTCTAGTAACCAACCCCAAAGAATTGGAGATCTATAAATTGCCTGGAAAAAATCAAAATAATTGCCTAAGGAATCTTGGGGAACTACAAGAGAACACAAATAAATAGTTTAATGAAATCAGGAAGACAATCCAAGAACAAAATGAGAAGCTCAATAAAGAGACAGAAAATATTTTAAAAAGAACCAAACAGAAATGTTGGAGCTGAAAAATACAACAGCTAAACTAAAAAAATGTAATAGAGGCTTGAACATCAGACTAAGTGAAGCAGAATAAAAAAATAAGTGAACTCAAAGACCGAGCATTTTAAATCATCCGGTAAGTGGAGATAAAAGAAAAAAAAGAATAAAACCTACAGAAGCCATGGAATACTATCAAGAGAGCTAACATTAGAATTATAGTAGGTTCAGAAGAAAAATAGAGAGAGCATTAGATAGAAAGCTTATTTAAGGAAATAATCATAGGAAACTTAGCAAATGTCAGGAAAGAAATGAGCATCCAGATGCATGAAGCCTAAAGTTCTCCAGTCAATTCAACCAAAAAAAGAATCCACAAACATACATTATCATCAACCTGGCAAAAATCAAAAACAAAGAGAGAAGCTTGTAAGCAGCAAGAGAAAAGAATCATGTCATATAAAAAAGGACCCAAATAAAGCTATCAGTGGATTTCTCAGCAGGAACCTTGAGGATCAGGAGAGAATGAAATAATATATTCAAAGCAATGGAAGAAAAATAAAACTGCCAACCAGCAATATTTTGCCAGCAAAGCTGTCCTTCAGAAATGAAGAAGATAAAGACTTTTTTAGAAAAAAAAAAGAAAAGTTGAGTGAGTCTTCACTATTGCTTGCCTTACAAGAAATGCTAAAGGGGGATTTTTAAGATTAAATAAAAGGCAGCTAATTAGTAACATTAAAACATATAAAAATATAAAACTAACTGGTAAAGTATATATATGGTTAAATTTAGAATATTCAAGCACCATAATGGTGGTGGTGTAAATCACAACATCATTATAAAGTTATAAGATGAATGTATGAAAAATGACTATAGCTATAATAAATTCTTAAGACATATAAAAAATGTAAACTGTAACATCAAAAGCACAATGTAAGAGAAGGGAAGTAAAAGTACAGAGCTTCTTTAGCAATCAAAGTGAAGATGTTATCGTCTTTAAGTGAATTGGTTAAACAATAAGAATATTTATGTAAGCCTCATGGCAACCACAAATTAAAAACCTATAGTAAATACACAAAAGATAAACAGAAAAGAATCAAAGCATACCACCGAGGAAAATGATCAAATCACAAAGGAAAACAACAAAGGAGTAATAAAGGAATAAAGGACCTACAAAGCAACCAGAAAACAATAAATTGACAATAATAAATCTTTACTTACCAACTATAAATAAGCAAATTTTGTCAATCAAAAGACAAAAAGTGGCTGAATTGATTTATAAAAATAAGATCCAACTAAATGCTGCCTACAAGAAACTCACTTCACCTTTAATAACACACATAGACTAAAAGTAAAGGGATAAAAAACAAAAATATTCCATGAAAATGAAAACCAAAAAAGAGCAGTAGCAGTTACATGTGTATCACACAAAATAGACTTTAAATACTGTCACAAGAGACAAAGAAGGTCATTAGATGTTGGTAAAAAAGTCAATTCATCAAGATAATAGAACAGTTATAAATATGAATACACCCAACATCAGAGCACCTAAATATATAAAGCAAATATTAACAAATCTAAAGCAAGAGATAGACTGCAATGCAATATTAATAGAGAACTTTAATATCTGATTTTCAACAATGGATAAATCATCCAGAAAGAATATTATTAAGAAAACATTGTCTTGAACTACTTCAGACTAAATGAATCTAATAGACATACACGGAATATTTGATCCAACAGCAGAACACACATTCTTCTCAAGCTTACACAGAATATTCTCCTGGACAGATTGTATGTTAAGCCACAAACAAGTCTTAACAAATTTCAGAAGACTGAAATCATATCAGATATATTTTCTGACCATAGTGGTATGAAACTAAAATCAATAATAACAGGAAAACTGGAAAATTCATGTACATATGGAAATTAAACAACCACCAATGGGCCAAAAAAAGAAGTCAAAAGGTAAATGTAAAAATATCTTGAGACACATGAAAATGGACATGACATACAAAAAGGTATGAGATGCAGCAAAAGTAGTTTTAAGGGAGAAATGTATAGTAATAAATGTTTACAAAAAAAAGACGAAAGGTCTCAAATTAACAACCTAACATTACAGCTCAATGAACTAAAAAAAGAACAAACTAAGCCCAAAGTTAGAAAAAAAGGACATAACAAAGATTAGAAAAGAAATCAATGAAAGTGAGACTAGAGAAACAGTAGAAAAGATCATGAAACTAAGATTGATTTTTGGAAATATAAATAAAATCAACAATACTTGATCTACACTGAGAAAAAATAGACTTAAATAAATAAAAGCCAAAATGAAAAAGGAAACATTACAACTGATGCTACAAAAAATATAAAGAATCATAAGATAATACTATGAACCATTACAAGTCAAAAGATTGGATAGCCTAGAAGAAATGGATAAATTCCTAGACACATACAGCCTACAAGACTGAATCATGAAAAGCTAGAAAATCTTAACAGTAATGAGTAAGGAGATTGAATCAATAATAAAATCTCCTATCAAAGAAAATCCTAGGACCTGATGGCTTCATAGTTGAATTCTACCAAATATTTTGAAAAGAACTAATACCTATCCTTCTAAAATCCTTCCAAAAAGTTGAAGAGGAGGGGATATTTTAAAACTCATTTTACAATGCCAACGCTGCCTTCATACCAAACCCAGATAAGGACACCAACAAGAAATATAGATTATAGGCCAATGTCCCTTGTGAACAAAGGTCCAACAATCCTCAACAAACTACTGGCAAACCAAATATACCAGGACATTAAAAAGATTTTGCATCACGACAAAGTAGGATTTATTCCTGGGATGTAAGAATTATCCAACATACACAATCAACAAATGTGCTACACCACATTAACAGAATAAGAAATAAAAACCATGAGATCATCTAAACAAATGCAGAAAAATCATTTGACAAAATTCAACATTCTTTCACAATACAAAATTTTCAACAAATTAATTATAGGAATGTACCTCAACACAATAAAGCCTGTATATCACAAGCCTATGATAAACATTATACTCGATGAGAAATTGAAATGTTTCCCTCTAAGATCAAGAACAAGACCACTCTCCCCACTTCCATTCAACATAGTACTGGACGTCATAACCAAAGTAATTAGGAAAAAGAAATAAAGTGCATCCAAATAAAAAAGTTAGTGTCTCTGTTAGAAGATGGCATGATCCTATGTAGAAAGAATCCTGAAGACTCCACTAAAAAACTGTTAGAACTAATAAGCAAATTCAGTAATTTTGCAGACTACAAAATCAACAGAAAAATTCAGTTGCATTTCTTTACACCAATAATGATCTATAGAAAGAAAAAGTCAAGAAAAAGTTATCATTATGAGCACAGCAAAAAGAATAAAATACTTACAAATAAATTTAACTAAAGAGGTAGAATATCTGTACACTGAAAAGTATAAAAGATTAATGAAATAAATTGTGGAAGACAAAAATAAGTGAAACATATCCCATATTCATGAACTGGAAGAATTAATATTGTTAAAAAGTCCATACTACTGAAAATGATCTGTACATTCAACGCAATCCCGATCAAAATGGCAATGAACATTTTTCACAGCAATGGAAAAAATAATTCTGAAATTCATATGCAACCATAAAAGAGCATGAAAAGCTTAAGCAATCTTGAGTATAAGTACAAAGCTAGAGGTATTAAACTTCCTGATTTCAACTCCATTACAAAACTGTAATAATCAAAACAGATGTTGCTGGCATAAAAACATGTATACCAATAAAACAGAATAGAAAGCTCAGAACTAAACTCACATACCTACAGTCAGCTAATTTTTTCAACTAAGGTACCAAGAATATACAATGTAAAGGACAGACTCGTCTATAAATGATGTTGGGAAATTGGATATCCACATGCAAAGAATCCGTGCTTCTCTTATTCCAATCACAAAAGTTAATTCAAAGTGGATTATAGACTTAACATAAGACCTGGCCCCATAAACTCCTAGGAGGAAACATGGGGAAAAGTTCCTGGATATTGGTCTCATCTTTATTTGTTTGATGAAAGAGAAATCTACAGAAAGGGAGAAAATATTTGTATACCATACATCCAATAAGGAGTTAATATCCAAAATATATACAGAACTTATACTACCAAATAGCAAACAAACAAGCTTCTAAATGGGCAAAAGATATTTTTAAAATGATTTCATAAAATGGGCAAAGGATCTGAATAGATATTTTTCCAAAGAAGATACACAAATGGCCAACAGGTATATGGAAAAAATGCTCAAAATCAGAAATCATCAAGGCAAATCAAAACCTCACTGAGATATCACCAACCACCTGTTAGATTGCCTTTTATCAAAAAGTCCAGTGATAGCATGTGTTGGCAAGGATGTAAAGGAAACCTGATATGGTTTGGCTGTGTCCCCACCCAAATCCCATCTTGAATTATAGTTCCCGTAGTCCTCACATGTCATGGGAGAGACCCAGTGAAAGGTAATTGAATCATGGGGGCAGTTTTCTCATGTTATTCTAGTGATAGTGAGTAAGTTCTTACAAGATCTGATGACTTTACCTGGGGCTTTATCCTTTACTCAGTTCTCAGTCTTCTCTCTCTTGCCACCATGTGAAGAAAGACATGTTTGCTTCCTCTTCCACCATGACTGTGACTATAAGTTTCCTGAGGCCTTCCCAGCCATGCTGAAATGTGGGTCAGTTAAACCTCTTTCCTATATAAATTACCTAGTCTCAGATATGTCTTTATTAGCAGTGTGAGAACGGACTAATACAAAACCCTTGTAAACTTTTGGTAGAGATATAAATTAGTGCAACCATTATTGAAGACAGTATGTAGGCTCCTCAAAAAAAAAAAAAAAAAAACTTCTCATATAATAACAGCAATCCCACTTCTAGGTATGTATGCAAAAGAAATAAAACCACTATCTTAAAGAGATATCTGCACTCTCAAATTCACTGCAGCATTGTAACACTAGCCAAGATATAGAAACAAACTAAGTGTTCATCTACAGATGCATAGATTTTTTTAATGTGGTACAAACACACACAATGGATTATTCAGCCTTAAAAAGAAGGAAATCCTGCCATTTGCCACATGGATAAACCTGGAGGACATTATGCTAAGTGCAATAAGCCAGATACATAACGACAAATACTACATGATATCCCATACAGGTGCAATATTTAAAAAAATCAAACTCATAGCAATGGACAGTAGAGTGGTGGTTAGCAGGGGCTGGGAAATGCCAGGAAAAAGATGTTGGTCAAAGGGTACAAACTTTCAGCTACAAGATGAGTAAGTACTGGAGACCAAATGTACAGTAGCTTCAAATTTGCTAAGAAAGTAGATCTCAAGTGTTAACACACACACATACACACATTATACACAAATGGTAATGATGTAACATGATGAATATATTAATTAGCTTGGTTGTGGTAATCATTTCATAAGTATGCATATACCCTAAATATATGCAAATTTTATTTGTAAATCATACCTCAATAAAGCCTGAGAAAATTGTAGTATATATATGCAATGGAGTATTATTCAGCCTTTAAAAAGCAACTTACAGAAGGACAAATACTGCATGATCTCACTTATGTGTGGAATCTAAAATACTCAAACTGAAGGTAGGATGGCGGTTGCCAAGAGTGGAAAGGAAAGGGAGAAATGAGGAGATAATGGACTAAAGGTTACAAAGTTTCAGTTATGCAAAAATGAGTGAGTTCTGGAGAGTTAATGCACAACATGGTGTCTGTATTACAATGCAATACTGTATTGGACAACTGAAATGTACTAAGGGAGTAGATCTTAAGGGTTCACACCACACACAGAAAAACATAACCCTGTGAGGTAATGGATATGTTAATTATCTTAAGTGTGATGATCATTTCACAGTGTACACATAGTTCAAAACATCAAGTTGCACATTTAAATATGTATGATTCTTATTTGTCAAATATACTTCAATAAAACTGGAAAAGGGGAATGAAGGAGAATAAGCTAGACCATGTGGCCACATGCTGGTTGACCTCCCACTGAAGGTCATTCCTCCTTTCAAATGGCTATCATAAATATCTCTTTTTGGGGTTTCTGTATTTCCTCCCTCTCTCAGTCCCTTCAGGCACAATGGTGTAAACAGCTCCACCCCATCTTACCCCTGGCCTGTGTGGTACTCTATACCTATAAATTCATAGACAGCATCTCGTTAAATAAATGTTTATCAAATTATCCTATATTAAGTGTGTCATTAACTTCCTGTTGGAACTCTAAATGATATAATTTTCTATAAATGTATCCTTCCTTGAGTGTATCAACTTGTTTCATCTTATTGACTGTACCTTTACAACTAAGATGTTTCTATATATTAGATAATATAAATTTTCACACTCTCCTTTCTGTTTTATGAACCTGGAGGGCTTCCATCTTCTGCTTTCATCCATTTCTGTTGTCTCCTATGCCTACTGTACATCTGTCATCTTAAAAGTGCCTTTTGATCCCTTCGTAGTTCATAAGCGTGATGACTGAGTTTTTGCACTCCTGTGTGAAATGTACCTCCCTCAAACCTTATGACATATATACATTACCTGACTCACATGAAGAAAGAAAAAAGAGATTGGGATTTTTTTTAAAGTGGCTTTAGCCACCCTGCATTGCATATATTAGTTTATTGATCTCATTTCTTCCTCTTGTTTTGCTGGGATATATTATCCCACACTTTCAAAAAAAGAGAGTACTTATGAAGTAAACTTTATAAATTTTTGTATGATTAAATATGCTTTATTCTATCTTCCTGATAGATTTGTTCTGTATAGAATTCTAGCCTGAAAATCAGTGTGAGAAACTTTTCCACTGTATTCTAAGGATGAGCTTGCTACAGAGCATACTCATGCCATTTGAATTTCTGTTCATTCGTGAGCTATACGGTTTTTTCTTAATAATTTTACAATATTTTCAATCGTTAAGGTGATAAAATTTCATAATAACGTGCCTTGGGATTTTTTTTAAATCTTGTGGTGGGCATTCAGTAAATCTTTCATATCGAGAAAATTAAGCTTTTCTGTTCTAAGAAATTTATTTTCATTGTTTCTTTTAAATCCATCCTTCTGTTTAATTTGTCCTCCTGGAATATGTGTGAGTTGAATGGTTTGCCCCTAACTTGATTCCTTGTGTTTCTTGTTTTTATCTTTCATGTTTTCTATTTCTTTGACATTTTCATTCTACTTTCATAGAGACTGTACTTTTATGACTTCTTTGACTACTTGTTTTATTTCTTTTAATGCCATATTAATTTTATTGTTCTTTTTGATTTTACCTTCCAAAAATAATTTTTCTATATTTTTTCAGTACATCATATTCTTATTTCAAGATTACAAATATTTTCTTTCATTGATGAGAAGATACAGTTTTTTACAGTTCCCCCCCCCCCCCCCGAATTACCTCTAATTCCACCAGTTTCCTTTTGGCTTTTTTAAAGACTTACTTTTTTCTTTTTTTCAAAAGCCTTATGTAAATTTTAGATTGATCTCTTAAGCCAGCTTACTAACTGGCAGGCTTCTGGTCAGGGTTCCAGTAGAAAGGTAGCCATTTCATTTGTAATCTCCAAAGGCAGATGTGACATTAACATTCAGTTTCTTAAACAAAGGTGCCAATGTTCTGTCTGTGACTCATATGCTACCGTTAGCATCTGGGAGCAGAAAGAGAGGATAGAAGATTGAACTGTTCCTTTCTCTTAATCTTCATTAGCAGCCCTGAACCTCACCTCCCGCTGACCTGGCATCCTGCATCCCAATCATCGTAGGGATTCCAGGAAATGAATCTCTCCCCTTTTCCTCACTATTCCTCTTGTTGGGAATTTAGACTTAGCCTTCCCGACCCTCCCAAATCAGTTACTACTTTTTTGTCTTACCTTTTCCAAACTTTTGTTGAAATCTCTTCTCTGCATCTAACTCCTGTCCTGTTTCTTTGTTCCTGTGGGTCTCAGCCATTTTTTTCTTACTGCAAGTGTTGTTATTTTTATTATTAATACTTTGCTCTTAGGAGGGAAAAGGAAACCTAATGTATTCTATCATTTTTAATATAATTTGTGGGTTTGTTGTCTATCTTAAAAAATCAGGAGTTTAAAAAAAGGATAGAATGACCCTTTTGCAAAGGGAAAGTAATATGAAAATAACTATAAGGACATGCAATAACTATAAAGAAATTTTAATAATCAAAATGTTAATGGTGATCATGTATGAGAGGGCTGGAGTAGACAAACCATTTTAAAGACTTTTCAAAAGTCCCACCAACCAACTACTATTAACATCAGATTGTCCACTGGGCTTCAAAAGGAATATCTTTTTCTTATAAGGTCATTCTAAATTATTGAATTGAAGTTTAAAAGAGCCTGAGGCAAGTCAATGCAATATTTTAGTTGGGCCACCATGAATAATGTCAGGTCCCCATTACTAAGGAAAAAAATAGAAATTGGAGTTACAATCAACAGATTTTGACAAGTACCTACTGTGCAAGCCCCTCTAGTCCATACATGAAGAGTAGAAAAGAATATACATCATTTGTATTCTTCATAAGTTGTAGATCTCAGATAAAAATCCACTAAAAAAGAGAAAAAGGTAAGTGATATTTTATAAATTGCATACAGGATTGCTTAAGGCATATAGAAAATAAATGTTGAACAAAAATAATCAGGGCAGAATTCTTGAACAACATCAGTCATGAGACAAGATCTAAGAAAATTTCTTAGAAGAAAAATGCCTTTTCCAGAATACTGAGAATACTTAACTATTTTTCAACTTTACTAAGAATACCACAAGAAGAAAATGTGCTTATTCCATTTTGTTGTTTTAAGGAACTGAAGACAAGTTCAACTAAAAATTTATAATAGAATTACATCTCCTTAGTCATTTCAATGGTACAAATACCAACTCATTTTAGTTGCTTTAATCTAGTCTGTTTTTATTGGCAAAAAAGTAAGATTTCTTTCAGTAAAGATAGTATTATAGTAATGGGTAGAAGAGTATTCAAATTCTCCAAGAGGGTCTTTGAAGAAATTGCTGTCCACCTCAAAATATGTAAAGTTCTATTTTTTTTTTTCCTGCACAGAAACCATCCTTTGGGCAATTTGTTGATTTATACTAACCCTCTTCATTATAGGAAGTATGTATTTCTATGTCTGCATTTGTTGTATTGTATTGTAATTATCTCCTTGCAAATCTGTTTCCCTGACTAGATTTTGCAATATGTATAAGAAAAGACTAGAGAAGGACGAAAAAGAAAACAAAAGAAGGAGGGAAAAGGTGCAGCTTCTGGTAAATTAGACCTCTTTTTTGAAGAGACATGATATGGTGAGAAGATATGATCAGGGATATCTTTCTCTTATAACCCCACTCTAAATTACTGAATGGTAGCTTAAGAGAGTTTGATGTGAATAGAAGGGATTTAACGAGGTTAAATGAGATATTGAGTAGGAGTGTTAACTCTTGTACTCTAGAAGAGAGAATAAACCTTGCCAAGTATGGAAAGGTTTAAGTTTAGCCCGTCTAAAATAGCCTCAAATTATTTCCTGTTAGACAAAATATAAAAGCTGCATTTTAGGAACTGTTTTTTTAATTATTAGTAAATTAGGGATCATTGAAGGTATCCACTAATTCAGTGATTTTGCAATTCTGACAAACTATCCTCTCTGCTTTTCCTTCAAGGAGATCTTGCTACTCCATAGCCACCTCATGGCATTCTTTACTCCTCATTCCTCAGAGTATAGATGAGTGGGTTCAGCATTGGGGTGATGGTGGTATAGAACACAGACACAGCTTTATCCAATGGGAAAGTAGTGGATGGAGATAAATAAAGATACACGGAACAAAGAAGAAAGTTACTATAGTCAGATGAGATCCACAGGTAGAGAGAACTTTGTGTCAGCTCTCTGCAGACTGTTTTTGAAGACTAAACAGAATGACTGTGTAGGAGGCCAAAAGAATGAGGAAACACCCCAGGGAGATGAGACCACTGTTGGCAACCACCAACATATTTACCAGAGTTGTATCAGCACAGGCAAGTTTTAGGACTGGGTGGACATCACAAAAGTAATGGTCTATAACCTGAGCATTACAGAAGGGCAGCTGGAAGGTCAGGACGGTCTGAACAAAGGAATGACCCAGGGCCCCCAACCAGGACAGTGATGCCAGCACAGTATAAGCATTAGCACTCATGATGACAGTGTAACGGAGGGGTTGGCAGATAGCAGCATAGCGATCAAAAGCCATGACAGTCAAAACAAAAATCTCAGCACAACCAAAAAAGTGGAAGGTAAACATCTGAGTTATACAGCCCCAGTAGGAAATAGTCTTTTTCTCAGAAACAAAGTCTTCAATCATCTTGGGTGCTGTGGCTGAGGAACAGGCAATGTCCACAAAAGACAGGTTACTGAGGAAGAAATACATGGGTGTGTGTAGTCGGGAGTCAGAAAAGACCATAAGCAAAATGAGCAAATTTCCCACCATGATCACGACGTAGAAGAGGAGAAATAAGACAAAGAACATCAATTGCATTCCAGAATCTTGGGAAAGTCCCAGGAATATAAACTCAGTGACATTGTTGGCCACTTTCATGGGGCCCCAGGCAGGACTCGTGGAGTGACTCTGGTTCTCTGCAAAAATAAACACGTTATAAACCATGGTAAGCATAGTAAAGCCTATCAGTAAGAGTCTTGTGAAAACACCTATATGATGTTAAATATGGTAGAGAAAGTTCTTCATATTTCTTGAACATAGTTCATGAATATTTTTCTTGTCTTTAGCTTGATTTCCACACTATTGACTCACATTTGAATTTCTTTCATAATTAGTCTTATAGTTCCTCTTTTCCATACAAGAACCTAGAGAATCTGAGTCTTTTTTATTGAATTTAATGTTTTTCCCTAATCAGCGCTCTCTCTCCCCCCACCTCCAACTTCTCTTGTCAGAAATTTACTTTGGAGTGAGAACTTTGTTTAAATAAATTAATTAATTTTTTGAGGCTGTAAATAAAAGCATGAAGTCAGAGTATAAGATCTGATGTATAAAATTTCAGAATCCTTCAAATATAATGTATGCTACTCACCTATAGAAAAGTAACATTTTATTTAATCAAGAGAGGAAGACTCAGTTTCCAATTTCTCAATTAGATTAAAAGTCTCTAAATATCTCCTAGATTTTGGTCTAGGATTTTCATAGTTTGTGGCCTTACATTTAAATCTTTAATCTATCCTGTTAATTTTCTTACATGCTGAAAAGCAAGGGTCTAGCTTCATCCTCCTGCACTTTGCACATCAAGGAATTAGAAAATAAAGGACAAACCAACTCCATAGCTAGCAGAAGAAAAGAAATAACAAAAATTAGAGAACAACTTAATGAAAGTGAGGTGCAAAAATCTATACAAAACGTCAATGAAACCAAGAGTTAGTCTTTTGAAAAAATAAGATTGTTAGACTGCTAGTTAGATTAAAAAAAAGTAAAAAAAAAAGAAGATCCAAATGAGTACAGTCAAAAAGTACAAAAATGACATTACAACTGATCCCACAGAAATACAAAAGATCCTCAGAGAATACTATGAACAACTGTATGCACACAAATTAGAAAATCTGGAAGAAACGGATAAATCCCTGGAACAACACAATCTCCTAAAATTGAATTAGGAAGAGACTGTAATCCTTAATAAGTCAATATCAAGCTCTGAAATTGAATCAGTAATAAAAAAAAAAAAACTCTACTAACCAAAAAAAGCCCAGGACCAGAGGAATTCACAGTTGAATTCTACCAGACATATAAAGAAGAAATGGTACCAATCCTACTGAAAGTATTCCCAAAAAAATCAAAAAGGAAGGGCTCCCCCCTAACTCATTCTATGAAGCTAGCATCAGCCTAATACCAAAATCTGGCAGAAACAAAACAAAGAAAGAAAACATCAGGCCAATATCCTGATGAACATAGATGCAAAAATCCTCAACACAATACTAGCAAACCAAATTCAGCGGCACATCAGTAAGTTAATTCACCACGATCAAGTAGGCTTTGTTCCTGGAAACAAAGAGAGACTTGAAAATGCAAAAGGGAATACAAAACGCTCTTGCTTTTCTTAAAATAACGCTACCAATTCCAGCTATCAACAGGACATTTAAAATGATTTGCCAAGACTATACATTTTGCTATGAAAGAGAGCATCAGAAAAAGGGGATGTTGCAGCCGGCTTATACTAAGAGAAAGCCTGGAGCTCTATGTTCTTGAAACATGCCTGGTAATCCCTAGCACCACTCAAATCTTTCTGGTAACTCACACACTACTCTCGGGCAGTTTCCTGCACTTCAGGATATTCAAAATATTACCTTCAGGATATCATACTGCTCTTCAGGATATTCAACGTATGCAAAAAACTCTAAAAGTGTAGAGCAGAGTAAAGCAAAAAAGAAGAACATGATGTTCCAGGTATGCCATTCTCACCCTCACCCATACTATTTAGAAATCTCCCAAATGGCAGCCTAGTTCCTAGTCTGTGAGGAGTCCTTCTGTAGCAATATATACATATACACATACGTACATATGGCTTCTTAAATATGAAGTCATTAACTCCCAACACAAAAATAAAAATACATTTTTTGTCCCTATATCAAGAAAGCTCTTACATGACCAGGGTTATTGGCATTTTCCAGTATATCCTAGTATTAGATGGAGTTTCAGACTTTTTTTCACAAGTATATTTTTCAGCTAAGTAATCATAAATACCTCTCTATGGCAATTCATTAGGAGATAAAGTGACAAAATATAAAAAACATTATAAAAATTTGTCATTATCTTATTATATAGTAAATAGAATAAAGACTTTTCATAGCCATAAAATATTGCAAGGATCCTATGTCAGAGATAGATAATCTTAAATATAAATGTTTAAGTTAACCTTTTTAGGGATCTTCCAGCTCTGAAGCTCCTATACAGGTATTATAGAAATTAAGTAATCTAGCCAGGTGTCGTGGCTCACGCCTGTAATCCCAGCACTTTGGGAGGCTGAGGCAGGCACATCACCTGAGGTCAGGAGTTCAAGACCAGCCTGGCCAACATGGAGAGACCCTGTCTCTACTAAAAATACAAAAACTAGCCAGGCATGGTGGCCGGTGCCTGTAATCCCAGCTACTTAGGAGGCTGAGGCAGGAGGATCACTTGAACCTGGGAGGCAGAGGTTGCAGTGAGCCAAAATCGTGCCACTGCACTCCAGCCTGGGAGACAAGAGTAAGACTCTGTCTCAAAAAAAAAAAAAAAAAAAGAAAGAAAGAGAAAGAAGAAAGGAAGGAAGAAAGAGAGAAAGAGACACAGAAAGAAAGAGAAAGAAAGAAGCAATCTGTATAATTGGGATAAATACACTTTCTGAGGAGAAATAAAATATTAACTTAATTATATAATTATTAGCTTTCTTTTTTTTTTTTTCTTTGAGACCGAGTTTTGCTCTTGTTGCCCAAGCTGCAGTGCAGTGGTGCGATCTCAGCTCACTGCAACCTCTGCCTCCCGGGTTCAAGTGATTCTCCTGACTCAGCCTTCCTGAGTAGCTGGGATTACAGGATTACAGGCATGCGCCACCATGCACGGCTAATTTTGTATTTTTAGTAGAGATGGGGTTTCTCCATGTTGGTCAAGCTGGTCTCAAACTCCTGACTTCAGATGATCTGAACACCTTGGCCTCCCAAAGTGCTGGGATTACAAGCAGCTTTCTTGATTGATTACATTTTTTCTAAGTGGTCATGGGCAAGTCACTTAACTCAGAGTTCATTTTCAAAAATGAAGTTAGGTAAATTTATTCCTCAAACATGTTTGAGACTCAGAGGTAATAACTGTGAGCATCTCAAGAATGAGTGCTTTCAACCACAGTTCATTTCTTCCTCCTTTCGAGGCTAAAACTCTTAAACATTATGGTCAGTTGAAGAGCCAGCTTACCTATTCACCCTCACTGTAATTCCACTCAAAGAAAAACTCAATGTGAAACTGGGTACCTCTTCTTGAGAAGCCTCTACAACAGAATACTAACAGCTTCCATCACCCCTGCACTCCTGGACTTCCTTTCTCTCACACGTAAACTTTGCTAAGAGCATATGTTCATTAGAGTGATGCCTGACTACATTTCTAAAACTTGGGACACTGTGGAACACAGTTCTGAGGTAAATACTACTACATAGGTGGTTGTTACTGTTCTCAGGCTTTGTTATAACAGAACAAAGAAATTCACACTACTTCAGAAGAGGATCTGATGAGACATCAGAAGGAACTTCCTAACACTAGGAATCATTAAATGCTGGAGGAAAGGAACACAAAAAGAGATATATCTTGTTTCATTTGAATAGATTAAAAAGTGGAACAAATTGAATAAATGAAGAGTACTTAGAACATGAAGATAGAAAAGTTGATCTTTCAATTAATGCTTGTTATTTGTGGCCAGTAAATTCTACTGAGTTCCCGAGTTCTCTTGATTATGGTCAAAAGGCATAGGTGGCTTTCCAGAGTGCCACCTGTGCTTTTAAATTGTAATCAAGAGTGATCTATTATAATCTTTAGGCTATCTTTTTTATACCAAAGTCATCAAAATGGTTTTTAGACATGTACAAGATGAGTTAAGAGTCTTCCAAGAAAGAGTATGTTTTTCAAATCACCTCTTCTGCTCATTCTTTAACAAGGAAATGGAATGTCACATGGTTTTATCCTCAGCTTCTTCATAGCTGTCTTCATATCAGCATTTCTGAGTGTGTAGATGAGGGGGCTCAACATAGGTGTCATCACTGTGTAAAACATGGAGAATATCTTATCCACAGAGAAGCTGCAGAAAGGCCTCAGATAGATGAATATACATGGCATGAAGATCAGGCTGACCACTGTCAGGTGAGAAGCACAGGTAGAGAGGAACTTGTTCTGGCCCTGGCCGAAGTGTGTTCTCAGGGTGATCAGGATGACAGCATAAGAGAATAGTAAGACCAAGAAGCAGACAAGAGAGAGCAGACCACTGTTGGCTATCATCAGCACCTCTACCACATAGGTGTCCATGCAGGCCAGCTTGATGACCTGTGGGACATCACAGTAGAAGTTGTCCAGTTCATTGGGGCCACAGAAAGGCAGCTGGATGACTAGTATGACCTGCATGATAGAGTGGATAAAACCCCCACACCAGCAGGCAAGAACCAACCAAAGGCATAGCTGGGGGTTCATGACTTATAAGGTAGCGCAAAGGGTTACAGATGGCAACATACCTGTCATAGGCCATAACTGTCAGCAGAAACATCTCACTGGCTCCTAGAAAGTGGAGGAAGTAGATCTGGGCCAGGCATCCTGAAAAAGAGATGCTCTTGCCCTGCTGTAGGAAATCCCCTAACATCTTTGGCAGAGTAACACAGCTTAGGCATAGGTCAATGAAAGAGAGATGACCTAAAAAATAATACATAGGAGATTGGAGCAGATGAGCATGGGCTTGCACTGTTACCACTATCAAGAGGTTTCCCAGGACAATAGCAATGTAAAAAAACAAAAATAGTAATAAGAGAAATAGCTGCAGCTCCCAAGAAGATGATAGGCCCAGAAGAACAAGTTCTGTCACGTTAGAATCTTGTTTTTTTTCATCAAGCCAAGAATATCAAGTGACCTAGAGAAAGAAGAATTAAATCAGAACAAGGGAGATTTAAGGTATCAATCTATCTACGTATCTATCTATATAGATAGATATAGATATACACTATATATATAGTATGTAATACATAAATTACATAAAAATTATTTTAGCAAATTCTATGAGGTAGTATAGGCAGTAGTCTTATATTGATAGAACATTGAATTTTGTTCACTTCTTCCAACTCTTTATTCCTGTACTACTTTTAAATTGCATTCACAATAAACTAGAAAGAAACACAATGACCTGGACATGAGGTGGTAAGTGCTAATCTTTCCATTTCTTTTAATAGACAGAATAATGTCCTCTAAGGACAAAAGTTCTGGAATGGAGTATCTAGATCGAATGCCTAGCTCCACCATTACCAATGGAGTACTCTCAGGCAAGGAAATAAACCTCTCTGAATTTTGTTCTTTGGTTATTCAATTTAATGCAGAGTTAATAATATCTCCCAAGATTGTTCTGAGAATCAAATGTAATGCCTATGTGCACCATAAAAAAAAACTAGATCTCTCAAGATGAGGAAATATCTTACTCATCTTTGTATCCACAACACAATATTTACTGCATAGCAGAAGCTCAATAATTTATCAAATCGAAGGAAGAATGTTTTGTAAACAACAAATTGCTATGTTGTACAAAGTTTAGTAGTTACTGTGAATAAATATATTAGGAAACAAATCATTTAGGAAGGATTGAAAAAGCTCATATTTTTTGTCTTTACTATCCCAGGTTACAGAAATTGGGAAGTTTGTAAAAATGAGGTAAGAAGAAACAGTCTCAATCTTTAAGATTTAGGGAAGCATCAGACTGGGGATGAGTAGGACAATGATTAAAAGACACCAATCACCAAGACAAGAGACCAAGAGCCATGACCCATATCGTGGAGGCATGCACAAAAGCCCACCATGACCCTTTTACAGGACAAAGTAATAAGAGAAACCAGAGTTGTGTTGCTTCTGGACTTTTCAACAACCATAGATACATAAGAAAATAAAAGATTTGCTAAGATATTGTTAGATATATTTTCCCCTGCTCTACACTCATATTCATCCCCAATGTTTGGTGACAGTACCTTGGATTACAAACAGAAAATCAGAGAATGTTGATACATTTCTTCCATTGCAGTAGTTAAAAATTAGTAGATGTCTCCCTGTCTAGAATTTTTTTTTATCTAGAACCAGCTATAGACAAAATATGAAATAAGACAAGATTTTATTTTGTGTTCCAAGCTTTGTAATCCATGTTGCACTTGGTTCTATCAAGTCATTCAGAGAATGTTATCCAATAAAATCCTTCATAATAGATATCAGGTATTTACATAGACAATGCAGAAAAGTACTTAAATTCTAAAAATGAAAACCTCTAATGACAAGAAAACTTTCTCTAGGGTATTATTCCAAGATAAGCCAGTGAGAGAGAGATTTGGGGCTCAAGTCACATTTGGACGCCTCTGTCACACCATGATTGTGACCATCCTCTTCATCTACCTATATAGCCAAGTGCACAGGTGCATCTAAATCTATAATCTCATAACTGATAGAAGGAATCACCTCACTTTCTAGAGTCAATTGGAAAATAAACCAAAGCAAGAAATACAAGTTAGGGAACGATTTGCTGTTATGTGTACAGCCCTACTTGAGCTCTGCTATATTGGAAATTCTCTAATCTTTTTTGGATGCACCAAGGATTGTAAAGTTCCATAAGAAAACATCATTTTGATGTTCTTTTCAGTTATCTAAAATGTATAATTAACAGGGGTCAAGTCTCATTAAAATTATGCATCTAATTTTTAAAATAATCTTGGGAAAACTGGAAAAGTCTGAGAAAGAGAAACCAAAGTTATTTTTTTAATTAAAAAAGGTTTCTAGAAGCCAGAAAACAATGGGAACACATAATCCTACACACTGTTATAATTTAGTCTCAGAATATGGCTGAGAAACAATGTGATTATTTCCTAATGTGAAGGGCATAGTATACCAAGGGTGTACGGTACACTTGTTATTTCCACTGAACATATGTTGGGAAAGAAAAGATTACATTAAAACAGACAATATTAAAATTAAATAAATCAGAAGGATAGATTAAATAAGAGAAGAATATGTAAAATATGTTATAACCCAAATTACTACAAACCATTTATAAGCCTGATTTTATGGCCTACTTGTTTAAAGTAAGATTTAATATTAGGAAATTTCAGCACTATAAATATTCTGAACAGTTCCTAGGTGATTACTGTGATAAGATTTTGATTAATAATGATATAAAAATCTTTACACTTGCATAAGTTAAAAATAGGCAGCCCTGTATGTTAGTTATTTGAGTTTTAATCAAGGTAAGGGCTGGATTCTGGTTATTCTTGGATTTTTTTTTTAATGACAGTAAATTTGCAATCTTCAGACAATATAAAACATAATACTAAACAATATAGAAAGCTCCCTTTTAGGTTTAATAACATTTCCACATTTGGTTGAGTCATCTCCCAGCTTCTGAAGTCTGATCACAGTAGGAAATTAAGCCTGTCACTGTTCTGCAAAGAATAAAAAGAACAATACACCCAACAACATGAATGAATGTCTACATCCCAAAACTAACCCCAGTCACAATATAATTTCCCTTGCCAAAGCCCTGCAGAGCTTGGAAAGCCACATTCAAAAATACCAGCTCCATTATCCCATTAGCAGTAAGATCAGACCCTACCAAGCATTTCATGTTTCATATCCTAAAAATAACCTAAGAATGTGAAAAAGTCAATAAAAATATTTTTAAGTACACAAAATGAGCCAAAAAAATTGAGAATGCTTAATGCAAAATGAAAGTCTTTATGGAAGGGTCCTGCTTAGAGAGAAGAGGACAAACTAAAGCACCTTAAATAATCAAAGGCTACTTGTGTACAGCTGAGCAGCTGGTCTCTCGTCTTTCTAAACAAGGAACCAGAGATGTTTATGAGGAAAATATGAAGAAAAGGAGTAAAATTTTTCTCCTGGTAACTTGTGCATGTGTGTGTTTTAAGCATAACAGTATACCATATTTTGCTATTATGTTTGTCTTGTATTTATTTTGGTCTGTGTGGAGCTAAATGCATTATTAGAGGAGGAAATTTGACTATCTCAACAATAGAAAATAATTGGCTAGCTGGAGTTTCAATTCCATATGAATTCCTTTTAGACGCATTTGATGCATTTTTAAATTTCTCCTGAAAACCAAGAAGTGGACACCATTAGTTGAAGATGGTACCTATAGTGGTATTCTCTATTGAGAAAGAAACAATCTTTCTGTTCTAAACTTCTTTGGCCTTGTTTGAAACATTGCATTCTATATTGTACCTGTGGAACGTAAAGAAGATTTTAGTAAAAAGAAACTTTAATAATTAAAGAAATGGAAAACAGAATCTAGAAGGGACTATAACAGAATTAGGTAGTCTTAAGACAATATTGCCATGAAACCTGTGCCTTCAGTTATGTAAATTTGGTCCTATCGTATCCAAATATTGCAACTGTCTTCTAAGATGCCACTAGCCCTAGAATTCCTTGATGCTATAGGAATTTCACTGTTCTGTGAATGTTTCTAAGTGTAAATTTAAAACAACAAAACTCAAATGATCTCTTAAATTTAAAAATGATCAATGCCAGAGTATATAGAGAAAAAGAGTGAGGACAACAGTAAACATAAAAATAGCATCAGAGTCAGACAGAGGAGCAGGAAGGGGAGGGGAGCTTTGAGTAAATATATCTGAGAAACCTACATCTTTGCTTGTCAGAAGCTATGTGGTTTCAAGGAAGGAAGATGTTATCCTGCCATTCATCCTACCAACCCTCTCTTCAGCCTCAGGCCAGCAAAATGGACAATCCTCAGGTGACCATCACAGCTGCCCAGCACATGTCTTAATTGCTTCCTTATAAGCCAAGCCCTAGTTGACGGCTGGCTGTATGAACTGGAAATATCTCCTATCCCTAGGACTCTAGCTGTATCTGAGGTTGCTATGGTTCTTACAACACTACTTAGCTTAATGAGCCCTGGGATTCCCTAGGCTGCTGCTGTTTGAGTTCTGTTAAATTTAGTTCTTGCTAGGAAGTTGACCTTGGGACCTGCAGGCTCTGAAGCAATTAGACCTGTTGCATAACAGAACCCACTTATTTTACTTACTTTGGATTGATTTATTTGTAATTTGTCATTGATTTGTTTGTATATGCCATCCATTTTCAATGCCTCAGTCTGTATCTGAAGAAGATTCTCACTGGTTTTTATCTCAATCATGCTCCTTGAAGTAGCAGAAGCTGAAGGATAAATACCAACCTAAGGTATTTATCTCTGAGATAATTCCAGGGATAGCTTGGTATTTATCCTTTAAGGTAATATAGAGTGTCTTGATACAACACCTGATTTCTTGAAACCTCAAGCAGCTTACCTACTGGCATTTATTCATAGATCGTATCCAGAAAACACAGCTGTTGTCATTAGTAATTTAATTTTTTATAGACTGTCAGTCTAATTTTTAAATATCATAAAACATAATTCTCAAACAAATACATAATGAACACATCAAAAACTGTATTTAATTAATGAGGGATAGCAGGATAACAAAGTCCGTTCCAAAAAGAATATGAAAAGTGTGATTTTACATAATCACAGCAAAAAAATGAACACTAAAATAAAATTGTTAAATTTGATGTAATCCAGTTAATGTCTCATGACACAGATTTACCTATATAACAAACCTGCACGTGTACCTCTGAACTTAAAAGTTAAAAATATCAACATAACAAAAATATTCATATTTTTTCATACAGCTCTAAAAAGGGGCAATACGACCTTAATCTTTGGGATTATCTTTTCTACCACACTAAAAAGATACAATGTAGCAGTTTTCTATAACATCTAGCTATATGTAATTATACAATGTCTGAGATTCCATAATTCATATATAGTAAGTTAAACAAAATCACATTTGCTAGAGAGTCAGATGACCCTTAGCTGGGCTTGCTAAACAATGTTTTTTGTTTTGTTATTTTTTATTTCTGTGGGTACAGAGTAGGTGTATACATTTATAGAGTATGAGATATTTGGGTACAGGCATACAATACATAATAATCGCATCATGGTAAATGGGGTATTCGTCCCCTCAAGCATTTATCCTTTGTGTTACAAACAATCCAATTATATTCTTTTGGTTATTTTTAAATGACAATTGAATCATTATTGACTATATTCACCCTGTTGTGCTATCAAATACTAAATATTATTTATTCTTTATATCTTTTTGTACCCATAACTATCCCCATTTTTCCACATCCCACACCTCCACCATCCTTCTCAGTTTTTGGTAACCATCATTCTACTCTTTATCTGCATGATTCGATCGTTTTAATTTTCAGTTCCCACAAGTAAGTGAGAATATGGGAAGTTTGTCTATCTGTGCCTAGCTTATTTCACTTAACACAATAATCCCCATTTCCGTCCATGTTGTTGCAAATGATCTGATTTTTTTTTATGGCTGAATAGTACTCTATTGTATATGTATGTGCCACATTTTCATTATTCATTCATCTATTGATGGAAACTTAGGTTGTTTCCAAATCTTGGCTATTGTGAACAAAGCTAAAACAAACATGAGAATGCAGATAACTCTTTGTTATACTGCTATTTTTTCTTTCGGGTCTACATCTAGCAATGAGGTTGCAAGATCGTAAAGTAGCTCTACATTTAGTTTTTGGGGGAATCTCCAAACTGTTTTCCATAGTGGTTGTACTAATTCACATTCCCACTGACAGAGTATGAGAGTTCCCTTTTCTCCTCTTCCTCACCAGCATTTGCTATTGCCTGTGTTTGGATAAAAGCCATTTTAAATGGGGTGAGATGATACCTCATTGTAGCTTTGAGGAACATTTCTCTGATGATCAATGGTGTTTGAGCACCTTTTTATGTATCTGTTTGCTATTTGTATTGTCTTTTGAGAAATCTCTATTCAGATCCTTTGCCCATTTTTAAATTAGATTATTAGGGTTTTTTCCTATAGAGTTGTTTCCTGGTTATTAATCCCTTGTCAGATGGGCAGTTTGCAAATATTTTCTCCCATTCTGTGGGTTTGATCTTCACATTGATTGTTTTTCCTTGGATGTGCAGCAGCTTTTTAACTGGATGTGATCCCACTTGTCCGTTTTTGCTTTGGTGACCTGTGTTTGTGGAGTGTTGCTCAAGAAATCTTTACCCAGACCAATATCTAAGAGAGTTTCCCCCAATGTTTCCTTTTAGTAGTTTAATTTTTTGAGGTCTTAGATTTAAGCCTTTAATACATTTTAATTTGATTTTTGTATATGCCAAGAGATAGGGGTCTTGTTTCATTCTTCTGCATATGGATATCCAGTTTTCCCAGCACCATTTATTGAAGAGACTGTTCTTTCCCCAATGTATGTTCTTGGCACTTTTGTAGAAAATGAGCTCACTGTTGATGTACGGATTTGCTTCTGGGTTCTCTATTCTGTTCCATTGACCTATGGGTCTGTTTTTTATGCCAGTACCATGTTGTTTTGGTTACCATAGCTTTATAGTGTAGTTTAAAGTCAGGTAATGTGATTTATCCAGTTTTGGTTTATTTGTTCAGGATAGCTCTGGGTATTCTGGGTCATTTGGTTATATCAATTTTAGGATTGTTTTTTCTATTTCTGTGAAGAATGGCATTGGTATTTTGATAGAGATTGAATCTGTAGATTGCTTTTGGTAGTATAACATTTTAACAATGACTGTTTCAGCTAATGAACATGGAATATCTTTCCGTTTCTTTGTGTCTTCTTTAGTTTCTTTCGTCAATGTTTTATAGTTTTCATTGTAGTGATTTTCACTTTTTTGGTTAATTCCTAGGTATTTAATTTTATTTGTAGCTATTGTAAATGGGATTACTTTCTTGATTTGTTTTTCAGACAGTTCACTGTTGACATATGGAGATGCTACTGACTTTTATATGTTGATTTTGTATCCTGCAACTTTACTAAATTTGTTTATCAGTTCTAATAGTGTTTTGGTGGAGTTTTTAGGTCTTTCCTAATACAAGATCACATCATCTGCAAACAAGGATAATTTGACTTCTTCCTTTCCAATTTGGATGCCTTTTATTTCTTTCTCTTGTCTGACTGCTTTAGCTAGGACTTCTAGTACTATAGTCAATGAAGTGGTAAAAGTTGGCATTCTTGTTGTGCTCCAGATATTAAAGGCTTTCAGTTTCTTTCCATTCAGCAAAATTCTATCTGTGGGTCTGTCATATATGGCTTTTATTATGTTGCAGTTTGTTCCTTCTATACCCAGTTTTTTAGAATTTTTATGATGAATGGATGTTGAACTTTATCAAATTTTTCAGCATCAGTTGAAATGATCATATGCTTATTCTCCTTCATACTGTTTATTGTTTATCATATTGATTGATTTGCACATATTGAACCATTCTTGCATCCCTGGGATAAATCCTACTGTGGGAGCTAAAAATTAAAACAATTGAACTCATGGAGATATAGAGTAGAAGGAAAGTTATCAGAAACTGAGAAAGATAGTGGTTAGGGGGATGGGAGGGCAGGTAGGGATGGTTAATGGGCACAAAAAGTAGTTAGAAAGAATGAATAAAATCTAGTATTTAATAGTACAAGAGGATGACTATTGTGTATTATAATTTAATTGTACATTTTAAAGTAACTAAAAGAGTGTAATTGAATTGTTTGTAACCCAAAGGATAAAAATGCTTGAGGGGAATGGATACCCCATTTACCATTATGTGATTATTATGCATTACATGCCTGTATCTAAGTATCTCATGTACTCAATAAATATATGCACCTACCACATACATACCAAAGTTTAAAGTAAACTAAAAAAAAAGAAAAAGCCAGGCACGGTGGCTCACACCTGTAATCCCAGCACTTTGGGAGGCCAAGGCAGGTGGATCAACTGAGGTCAGGAGTTCAAGATCAGCCTGGCCAACATGATAAAACCCCATCTCTACTAAAAATACAAAAAAAAAATAGCTGGGCATGGTGGTGGGCACCTGTAATCCCAGCCACTCGGGAGGCTGAGGCAGAAGAATCACTTGAACCCAGGAGGTGGAGGTTGCAATGAGCTGAGATGGCACCATTGCACTCCAGCTTGAGCAACAAGAGCGAAACTCTGTCAGAAAGAAAGAAGAAAGAAAGAGAGAGAGAGAGAAAGAGAGAAAGAAAGAAAGAAAGAAAGAAAGAAAGACAGAGAAAGAAAGAAAGAAAGAAAGAGAAAGAAAGAAAAGAAGGGAAGGGAAGGGAAGGGAAGGAAAAGAGAGAGAGAAAGAAAGAAAGAAAGAAAGAAAGAGAGAGAGAGAAAGAAAGAAAAGAAGAGAAGGGAAGGGAAGGGAAGGAAAAGAGAGAGAGAAAGAAAGTAAGTAAAAAGAAAGGAAGGAAGGAAGGAAAGAAAAAAAAAGAAAAGAAAGAAAGAAAGAAAAGAAAAAGAAAGAAAGAAAAAAGAAAAGAAAGAAAATAAATTACAAGGCAATAACATGATCTTAGATGCAAAAATTCTCAACAAAATACTAGCAAACTGAATCCAATAACACATTAAAAAGACAGTTCACCACGCCCAAGTGGGTTTTATTCCAGGAATTCAAGGGTTATTCAGTATAAATGAATCAAAAAGTTTGATACATTACACTGATAGAATAAAAGACAAAAAGTGTATGATCATTTCAATAGATACAAAAACAGCATCTGATAAAATTTATCATTGCTTCATGATAAAAATTAAACAAATTTAGGCATAGAAGGAGCATACCTCAACATAATAAAGGCCATATATCAGAAACTCACAGTGAAAATCATACTGACGTAGGACAAACAGAAAATCCTTCTTCTAAGAACTGAAAAACGACAAGGATTCTCACTTTCACAACACCTATTTCATATAGTATTGGAAGTTTTGGCCAGAGTATCAGCAAGAGAAAGAAATAAAACGCATTCAAATTGGAAAAGAAGTCAAATTGTTTCTCATGGCAGATGACATGATCTTATATAGAGAAAAACATAAAAACGTTATCAAGACAACTCTTAGAAGTGATAAGTGAATTCAGTAACGTTGCAGAATACAAAATCAGCATACAAAAATCAGCAGCACTTTTATGTGGTAATAATCAACTGTCTGAAAAGAATTCAAGATAACAATCTTATTTACAATAGCTCCAAAATAAAAAAATATAATTCTTAGGAATTAATTTAACCAAGGATGTGAAAGATACCTATAATGAAGCCATAAAACACTTATGAAAAAAATTTGAAGACAGAAATAAATGGAAAGATAATCCTGCATTTGTGGATTCAAATAATTAATATTGTTAAAATGTTCACACTACCC